>NW_021160027.1:300000-403128 GCF_000001405.40 Homo sapiens
TGCTCCCTCCTGGCTTACCGGGGCCTCCTGGTCCCCTTGGGTCGGGTGTCGGTCCCCTGTGGCAGACATGACACCAGCAGCGCCTCAACTGGGGTGGCGAGCGGGCTGAGGCGACCACGGTGAAGACGGTGACCACTGAGGTGGCTACGGCCGAGGGGAGGCGAGGAGCTGGCCGCTGAGGGAATAAGAGTCTCTCTCTTTATTGAGGG
Source organism: Homo sapiens (assembly GCF_000001405.40). Lineage (NCBI taxonomy): Eukaryota > Metazoa > Chordata > Mammalia > Primates > Hominidae > Homo > Homo sapiens. The sequence goes on from NW_021160027.1 coordinate 300,210, forward strand.
AATAAGAGTCTGTCTCAGACGACACCCTAAGATGGGAAGGGCAGGGAGCGAATCCTAGAAACCTCCCACCAAGGCTGGCCTGAGAGGACTTAGACAAGTTGGGAAAGATTCTGGTCGGCAGGCGAAAGGGGGCGGGACCGGAAGGGTCAACGAGGGGCTCTCAGTGAGCCCTAAGCTCATTTGCTGAAAACTTCAGATTGACATGTTCTATGTCCAATGAATGATCAAGGCCCTTAAGCTCTAGAACTGAGAATCCAGAATCCAGAGCTTTTTCTTTTCTTTTCATAGTGTTGCTCTGTTGCCCAGGCTGGAGTGCAGTGGCAAGATCTCGGCTCACTGCAATCCCCGCCTCCTGGGTTCCAGTGATTCTCCTGCCTCAGCCTCCTGAGTAGCTGGGACTACAGGTACATGCCACCACGCCTGGCTAGGTTTTGTATTTTTAGTAGAGACAGGGTTTCACCATGTTGGCCAGGATGGTCTCGATCTCCTGACCTTGTGATCCACCTGCCTCAGCCTCCCAAAGTGCTTGGATTACAGGCATGAGCCACCGTGCCAGGCCGAGCTCTACCTTTTCTATGAGGCCTTAGTGTCCAAGGCTACCCCTTTAGGTCCACACAAGTCCTGCCCTTTTAATTTTATGATTATTAGCAACACTATAGTAGTCCCATGTGGAGGCACCCTGGAGCATGGGAACTGCAAGGCGGTCACAGAGTTCACTTATTTCCACCTAGTAATGGCTCATGCCAGTAGAGATAGTGTCATAAAAATGTTATATAGTTCATAGCTAAGCAGTAGTGAAAACCTCCCAAGAGACATAAGAATTTCACTGAGTTAACGTAGTTAAAGCTACTTAGAAAAGAATGTGCAGAGTTGAAATGGATGCAGTCATCACTGAGTGTTGAGGTGGTAAATGACAGACACTGGAAGGTGTTTAATGAATCCTGCCAAATTCACTTCAAACCTCCAAATAATGGGGAAAAAAAGAGATACTTTTTTTAAAAGGACCAGGTCATCTCATAAGAGCTAAGCATCAAAAACACCAAAAGTGCCTGGGGGTGGTGGCTCACGCCTGTAATCCAGCACTTTGGGAGGCCGCACTTTGGGAGGCCGAGGCAGGCAGATCACCTGAGGTCAGTAGTTCGAGACCAGCATGACCAATATGGTAAAACCCTGTCTGTACTAAAAATACAAAAAATTAGCTGGACATGGTGGTGCGCGCCTGTAGTCCCAGCTACTCGGAAGGGTGAGGCAGGAAATTTGCTGGAGCCTGGGAGGTGGAGGTTGCAGTGAGCCAAGATGGCCCCACTGCACTCCAGCCTGGGTGACAGAGCGAGACTCAGTTTCAAAAAAAAAAAAAAAAATTAGTAATATATGCAATATTATTTTCACACTTGCATCACATATTAAATCAGACTAGCCGTATTACAAGTGCTCAGTAGTCACAACACACAGCTCTAAAGATGAGCCCCATCTCTCTCTTTTCAAAAATTGTTTTAAACTTGTCATTTTACTTGATTTTTGGCTGCAGTGAAAGAATTTCAAAGAGTCTTACCAAATGGCGGAAAGTAATATCTTTCAATGAAGGTATGGTGGGCCAAAACAAAGACGTAAAGGAGAGATTTGAGTTAAGATTACTTATTGAAAAATCTTCCCACGTTTCAGTTTATTCATTTAAAACAAACTTTTATTTTTTAACTTGAACACTGTCACATACATCCATGAAAGTTAGATGTCACTGGATATCACTTTTGATGTAACGAACTTTGGAATGATATGTGTTACAATTCCCACAGGCATCTGGAGAAAAAGATAAAAACAATGAACAACAGAGTCTTCTTTCTTTTCCTCCCAACTGTGGGATGAAATGAGAGATGATAAACAATAGTACAACATTAACCAGCACCAGTGACTTTCTAAATAGAAGAAAATGGCCAGCTCTGTGTATATCTGCAACATTTGTGTGCTATATCTTAAACAAGTAGAGAAGCCCATCTTTTCCTTTTGTAACTCACGAGCTTGGATATCAGGGTGCTTGTGGAACTGAAGGTTTCAGTCAAATGATCACACCAACCTTGTCTGCCTAGCACTAGAAAAGCTTGTTGCTTTTGTTTTTACATGAGGGGCCATTCTGGGATTTAAATAAATCTCTCAAGCTTCAACAGCCTGTGCTGGTTCCACAAATAATACTCCCTTACCCTCCCAGACCCTTGGTTTCCGTATCTACCATGTGGGAAAGAAGCCGTTACGAAATATACGGCTGTGAAAATGCAAAATAAATAAATAAATAAGAAAGAAAGAAAAATGTTAACCATTTAAATACACTCAAAGATGGATATACCTTAAGACTTCATTACCAATTCAGTGATAAACACACATTCTTTTCATCTGACTGTGACATAAAATACCAAAATATATAGCCAAATAAATATCTAGGTATTAATCATTCATTGTGGTCCTACTTGAAATTCTTAGCTTTTTGCTATTTTTAAGTAGTCACTTTGTAAAAGGCATTGAGTTGTCTCCTAGTTACTACGGGAGCCTGCATTTCTGTGGTCAAGTAACGAAGGCCCAACTAATGCGTGGCCCAGCCAAGTTAGCGGCTGTGTCTGGCAACTGTTTTCTACACAAATATTGGTCCTGGTAGTAGGTCTGATACATCTGCCACTTGTTAGTAGTCTTGCAGCTAGAGGACAAAAGACCTCAACATGAACAAATGAGTAGCCAAGAAGTATATTTCAGAACACACTGCAGTTCATATTACTAGGTACATGAATATTCTCGTAACATTTTAAGTAAGTTAAATTGAATTTTTAAACTAATTTTAAACTTTTTCTTACTTAACTTACTGAGAATTTTTGTTGTTGTTCAATAAAACTGTCTGCAACAGGTAAATGCCAGGAATAGTTGAGTGATTCTCAAAGCTATACACAGATACCTGGATTTTCTTGGCTTCACCTCTGCTGCGTCTAGGTCCCTTTGGAGTTCTTCACCTTGTTTTCCGCATCCTTCTCTTTTTCTTGTTCTTTCTCTTCCTCGCCTGCAGCATCTTGGGCCTCTTCATCCCACTTTTCGGGCTGAGATTTAGTGACTTCTTTAGGGAAGAATAATACACACATGGGGACCAGACATTCACAGAAAATATAGCCCAATTTATAACTAGCAGCGGCATTCAGCTACTCCACCCTCAGGAGAAGCAGGATAGAGTTAAGTAAGAAAGGAATAGCTGGGCACCTTCCTACTGGTTTTCACAACAGTTCCATGGCCCTCACGTTGCTGCTGCTTGATCATTTCCACAGGGACACTGTATTTCCCTTTTTTCCAGTAAATCTCCCACCCAAAGCGGCTGATTATTTCTAGTTCTTTGGAGAAGAAGAGATCTGAATCATCGGGTCCGATCTCATTCTACGGTGTTTTGGTCAGAACTTTGTTGGGAAAATATTTGTTTACCTCAAAAGACAAATTCTATGGTGAAGCTCATTGGTTCCTCACCCCCCTGAATGCTTCATTTTTACCAAGTGCTCCTGCATCACTTCATCATTTGGGGGATCAACTTTCTACGAATCTTTACACTTTGAAAAGCCATGAACTAAAAGGGATGCCTGCCATTTGCCTGTTCTTTTCCTTGGCGCATCCCTTCTGTTTCCTGCGGAGCTCCCTCCTGAACCCCTATCTACCCGGCCATTCATCTGCGGGCTCACAAATGGCACCGATGATCTCAGATCTCCTATCAAATATAGGTTGGTAGAGGGCGACAAGTTTTCTCAAAACCACAGATGTCGTTAGAGAATTGGGCTTCGACTCATTGGGACACATTCTGCCTTAAGTTTCAGGAGGGCCCCGACTCCTGCTTCACCACCCGAGGCCCCGACCCCCCTTCACCACCCGCTTCACCAGCTATGCCCGCACCGCGGCCCTGCCTAGAACCCTGGGACACACGGGTCCCCGCCTCCCCGCTGCTGCCGCTAGCCCGTTCCTTACCCTCTGGGGCCGTGGCCTCCTGTGCGGTCGGTTCTTCTGTGGCCGGTTCCTCTGCGTCTGGTTCCTCTGTGGCCTCCTCTGAGAGCTTCTCCTCTGCGGCCTCCTCCGCGGGCTCCCTGGCCATCTCGGCCAGGTCAGCTGGCACTGCAGGCTCTGGGACCGATGCGGCCTCCTGGATCAGGCCCAGGCCCTCGCCCGCCCGGGCTGCGGCCCCTGCACCCAGCCTCTGGGGCAGCAGCAGCGGGGGGAGGTTGCCCCAGAGGTTGCGCGCAGCAGCGTGTGGCCCCACCATCAGGCGGCTGAGTTGACGGTTCTCTATGAGGATGTGGTCGTTGTGAGAGAGGCGGTGGAGAAGGGAGTGGACCATGTCCAGGAGCACGAAGTGAATGCCCGACGCCGGGTAGCGACGGGCGACCACCGCCAAGTCGAAGTTGGCCGCCTCGTTCCCCTCTTCCTCCTCCTCTTCCTCCGTCGCGGGCCCGATATCTGAGTCCTCCTCGGCGCTCCCGCCCCGGGGGACTGCGGCCAGGCCTGCCGCCTGCTCACCCTCCTCCTCCCCGAGGCCTTCCACGGGCCCTGCGACTCCGACCACCTCGGCCGCAGGCACCACGTCGCTGCTGTCGGGGCCGGAGTCGCCGCCCTCCTGGTTACCAGCTCCGGCCGCCTCGGCCTGTGCTCCCTCCTGGCTTACCGGGGCCTCCTGGTCCCCTTGGGTCGGGTGTCGGTCCCCTGTGGCAGACATGACACCAGCAGCGCCTCAACTGGGGTGGCGAGCGGGCTGAGGCGACCACGGTGAAGACGGTGACCACTGAGGTGGCTACGGCCGAGGGGAGGCGAGGAGCTGGCCGCTGAGGGAATAAGAGTCTCTCTCTTTATTGAGGGAATAAGAGTCTGTCTCAGACGACACCCTAAGATGGGAAGGGCAGGGAGCGAATCCTAGAAACCTCCCACCAAGGCTGGCCTGAGAGGACTTAGACAAGTTGGGAAAGATTCTGGTTGGCAGGCGAAAGGGGGCGGGACCGGAAGGGTCAACGAGGGGCTCTCAGTGAGCCCTAAGCTCATTTGCTGAAAACTTCAGATTGACATGTTCTATGTCCAATGAATGATCAAGGCCCTTAAGCTCTAGAACTGAGAATCCAGAATCCAGAGCTTTTTCTTTTCTTTTCATAGTGTTGCTCTGTTGCCCAGGCTGGAGTGCAGTCGCAAGATCTCGGCTCACTGCAATCCCCGCCTCCTGGGTTCCAGTGATTCTCCTGCCTCAGCCTCCTGAGTAGCTGGGACTACAGGTACATGCCACCACGCCTGGCTAGGTTTTGTATTTTTAGTAGAGACAGGGTTTCACCATGTTGGCCAGGATGGTCTCGATCTCCTGACCTTGTGATCCACCTGCCTCAGCCTCCCAAAGTGCTTGGATTACAGGCATGAGCCACCGTGCCAGGCCGAGCTCTACCTTTTCTATGAGGCCTTAGTGTCCAAGGCTACCCCTTTAGGTCCACACAAGTCCTGCCCTTTTAATTTTATGATTATTAGCAACACTATAGTAGTCCCATGTGGAGGCACCCTGGAGCATGGGAACTGCAAGGCGGTCACAGAGTTCACTTATTTCCACCTAGTAATGGCTCATGCCAGTAGAGATAGTGTCATAAAAATGTTATATAGTTCATAGCTAAGCAGTAGTGAAAACCTCCCAAGAGACATAAGAATTTCACTGAGTTAACGTAGTTAAAGCTACTTAGAAAAGAATGTGCAGAGTTGAAATGGATGCAGTCATCACTGAGTGTTGAGGTGGTAAATGACAGACACTGGAAGGTGTTTAATGAATCCTGCCAAATTCACTTCAAACCTCCAAATAATGGGGAAAAAAAGAGATACTTTTTTTAAAAGGACCAGGTCATCTCATAAGAGCTAAGCATCAAAAACACCAAAAGTGCCTGGGGGTGGTGGCTCACGCCTGTAATCCAGCACTTTGGGAGGCCGCACTTTGGGAGGCCGAGGCAGGCAGATCACCTGAGGTCAGTAGTTCGAGACCAGCATGACCAATATGGTAAAACCCTGTCTGTACTAAAAATACAAAAAATTAGCTGGGTGTGGGGGTGTGCGCCTATATTCCCAGCTACTCAAGACAGTGAGGCAGGAAATTTGCTGGAACCTGGGAGGTGGAGGTTGCAGTGAGCTGAGATGTCCCCACTGCACTCCAGCCTGGGTGACAGAGCGAGACTCAGTCTCAAAATAATTAAAAAAAAAAAACTAAACAAAACACCAAAAGGACAGGCTTCCTAGGATATTTCAAGCAACAGCCCAAGGCTTTTTGTTGATTTCAAAACCCGCTTAATCAAGATTCAAGTAGTAAGTAATTCTGAACATTTTGGAGAAATCAACTGTTATTTTGTGTTCATTCTATGAAATTTTTTGTCACACTACAACTGCTCTCTGAAAAAAATTGCAGGTAGCATATTTCATGTATTAAATTGAGCAATATTAGTACCATTAAATCTCATCAAGTTGAGCAGGTCATTGTTGTTCCTTTCATCAACTCAGTCAAATTTCAGTGCTTCTATTTTTCTCTAGTTTCATCTAAAAAAGGGGCATGGTGCTGTCACAAGTCATTGGTTTAAATCTGGAAGACAATGTGGAAAATTTCTAATCCAAAATACTCACTATTAAGACAGCAAAACCCAGGCAGAACCCCAGTCTGAGGTCTGGAGTTGCTTTAATATTTGCTTCCTGATGCGATGTTTGGAAAGTTATTTATTTCTATGCCTCAGTTTTATCATTTGTGAAGTTAAGATAATGATTCTCTAGCTACCTCCCAAGGTTGATCTGAGAATCAAGTAAGATAATGGGATGAAAACCCTTTTTGTACTGTAAAATACTATACATGTATATGATTACATCAAAAATAATTTTTCCCTGTTCTTAAATTATTGGAGAGAAGCCGTCAGGTATATTTGGCCCTCTGTATCTATGGATTCTGCATGTGTGGATTCAACTAACTGGATCCAAAATATTCAGAATTTGCATATGCACTGAGCATGTACAGACTTTCTTTGTGTCATTATTCCCTAAACAATATAGTATAACAACTATTTAGATAGCATTTACATTGTATTAGGTATTACAAATAATCTAGAGATGATTTAAAGTATACATGATAATGTGCATAGGTTATATGCAAATATTATGCCATTTTATATCTGGAACTTGGGCATCTGCAGATTTTGGTATCTGCAGGAGGTCTTGGAACAAATCCCCCATGGATAACTAGGAATGACTGTAGTCTCTCAGGCCTTCAGAGAACCCTCTAATTTGGATTTGGAGGAATCCGTTTTTTCCTAGCTACATGGAGTTATATACTCCCCTGGCTAATACCCTGACTTCAGTCAAGATTTGAGTGAGATAGGTAGATGGAATGAGATGGAATTATATTTACAATATTAATTATTTGTTGAAAATATTTTCCCAGTTTGATTTTGCCTTCTAAGTTGGTTAATGTTTCCAAGTATTTAGTTTTTCATTTGTATGTTCCAAAAGTCTAACAATAATTTTTTAATGGTTTTGACTTCACTGTAAATTTGTAAATCTTCTTGTACAGAGAATTTTTATTTTATATTTTCTTTTTGGGGATCTTCTTAATGTTTACCTTTAGCTCCTTAATCCATAGTGTGAGATTAAAGTCTCAGATGATTTTTATTTTGAACAGCTCACCTATACCACCACTTATTGAGTAACTCTTCCCCTGTGTACTGATGTGTGGCCATGTACGCTTTAGCACTTTCTGTAAAGGTAGAAAACATGCAAGAGAAAACTCATTTTCCCCAAATTTCAGAGCTTGGTACGGCCTTTAGCTATTGAGTCCAAGCTTATTCTTTTTTAAGTGGAAAAATTAAGGCCTGGAGTAGTTAACTGGCTTTCCAATGTCATACTACTCAATGGAGGAGCCAGGAGTAGAACCAACATCCTCTGACCTTTAATCCGAAATTGAGACAGGCATGCTTATTGTACATACAGCTTCAGGTGCAATTTGACAGCACAAGGTTAATTACCCAAATAAATAAATGGCTATGAGTTGAGGGTCTCTGAAATTCAGGCAAGCCTGTCCTCCTGACTCTGAATCAATCAGCAAATATTTACTAAACACCTACATTCAATGCCTTGTGTAAAACCTTGCTAGGGACAGAGAAGCAGGTGCCACCACCTCTGGCAAGAAGAATCTCACAGTCTAGTCGGGAGAAAGGATTGTGTATTGAGAATGGAGGTAAAAAAGCAGCACCTGACGCCCGGGCGCGGTGGCTCACGCCTGTAATCCCAGCACTTTGGGAGGCCGATGCGGGCAGATCACCTGAGCTCGAGAGTTCGAGACCAGCCTGATCAACATGGTGAAACCCAATCTCTACTAAAAATAAAATAAAAATTAGCTGGGCGTTTTGGCACGTGCCTGTAATCCCAGCTACTTGGGAGGCTGAGGCAAGAGAATCGCTTGAACCTAGGAGGCAGAGGTTGCAGTGAGCCGAGATCACACCACTGCACTCCAGACTGGGTGACAAGAGCGAAACTCCATCTCAAAAAAAAAAAAAAATGCAGCACCTGACATTCAGAGCTGACCTGGCACTCACAGCTAAGCCATCTTATTCTCCTACTGGATATAAACAATTGCATAGAACACCAACATCAGACAGGATCACTCTATGTCCATGATAAAAAGAGACAAAGCAAGGCCACTTTATAATTTTATTCAAGCAGAGAAAAATGAAGTCACAAAATACTAAACAAAATACTAAACTTAGCTTCTCTTGATTAAAATGAGTACCACTTATTTACCAATTACAGCTTTATCCTGGTTCTAATAGCCCCTCTCTATAAATAAGATTTATCGAAATACCAATCAGAACTGCACCCACTTTCTGATAGCACCTAATCTAGAGCAAATCCCCACTTTGTTCAAAACTTCCACATATTCTAAGCTTTGGAGTTGGGGAAGGAAGTGATATTGCCTCTGGCAAGAAAATAGACATAGGGGATTTGATGGAAGTCTTGTGGTGAGGAAGGTGCCCAATGGAGCACCCCTGTTTCCTGCTGCAATGCTGTCACCAAGACTGGTTCTACTCTTTCTTAGTGAAAACAAATACAGTCAGGTAGATGGTTTTTGTATACTTATAGTATTTCTACTTTTTTTCTTTTACCTCCTTTCTGTCAATGTCCATCCAGTTTTGCTTCACAACTTTCAACAGGACCATTGCTATTCACTTTAGAGGAGCATATTACCAAAAAACCAAAACCGAAAACTATAGAAGTGTCTTCCTAGGTCATGAAGAGCTGGGCTGTCCGCTTGAAGCTGTAGGAAAAATACTCCAGACCCTAGTCATTCAATCATCCAGTGAGCATATATTGAGCACCTACTATAGGCCTGGAGTTATGTCAAGGGCTGGGGACGCATTGGTGCTTAAGATCCATGGCTTGATCTATCTAGTTCATGGTCTAGAGGGGAAGACAAACATTTGGATGATGATGACACAAGGTGTCAAGAACTATAACAGGGATGAACACAAGGTACTGTGGGATCTCAGGAGACAGAATGATTAGCTAAGGTTGAGGGGATGGCAGGGAAAGCGGGTTGGTGCCTGGGAAGGTGCTCAACAAGAGGCATTTCAGCTGAGTTCTGAAACTAGGAGTTCAACCGGCAATAAAGATTGGGGGAAAGTCATTGCAAGTAAAGGAAGCAGCATGGATAATGGCAGCGGTGTGTGCATATTGGTCCAAGGCAATGAAATGGCTAGAGCATTGGGCAGAGTGGCAGATGGGCCTTTAAAGGAGATGGGGCTGGGGATGGATACCCCATTCTCCATGATGTGCTTATTTCACATTGCATAACTGTACCAAAACATCTCATATATCCCATAAATATATACACCTACTATGTACCCACAAAAATTAAGAATAAAAGAAATAGAAAAATAAAGCAGATGGGGCGATGAATAATGAATGCTTCTCTAAAGAGTTTGCCCTTTGGCCTGAAAGGGCTGGGCTGTCCACTAGAAGCTGCAGGGCAAATACTCCAGACTCTAGTAATTCAATCATTCACTGAGTTTGCCCTTTGTCTTGAAACCCCTTTGCCTGCTTGCCCTTTGCATAGAAGACATTTCTAGAAGTATTACTGCAAGTTTTCACCCTCATTTTTATGTTCTTAGTTATTTTCATGGGTCTTCCTCCCAGGTTGTCCAATGACTGCCTCCTTGGCATTCAGGTTTTAGTCAAAGGGCACTCATGGGGTTTGTTCCTGACCACCTTGACTAAAGCTGTTACCTACCTCCACCCCGATCACTATTATGTCATTACCTTGTTTTGTTTCCTTTCTAGCCCTTGTACTAATTTAACTAATTTTATCTTTGTTTTTATCCTCTATCCCTACTACCACCACTCTAGATGCTATAAGGAAACTGTCCGTTTCCACTGATATTTACCCAAACACCTAGAATGGTGCCTGGAACATAGTAAATAAACACTTATTTGATGATTGTTTTCTCTACATTGGTTAACTGTACAAGGTGTACAAGGTACAAAACCAAATGTTAAGTTGCAAGATCATGTTTATGAATTGGATGAGCCTCCAATGGGTTAGTAAGATTAAGGTTGTTTTGAATTTCTGTAAAATGTTGGTAATTTCCTTAGACATCTCTGTTTTTAGATTGAGAAATTAACTTCAGAGGAAAAAAAATGTTTTCATTTGACAACAATTAAAATGGGCCAGTATATATAAGATTAGAGGGGCTTATACTAGTGTTAAATGTGTTTGTTTTGTGATTACCTCATGCCAAATTGCAACTTTTGGAGGTCAGAGAATTCACATGTAAGCCAACTTCCTGTCTTCTTACATGGTGTGAGTTAAAGTCTTCACTTTAGATTTACGTAGATTTGGTCTTTTCACATAGTCCCATATTTCTTGGAGGCTTTGTTCATTCCTTTTCATTCTTTCTTCTCTAATCTTGTCTTCACGCTGTATTTCATTAAGTTAATCTTTAATCTCTGATATCCTTTCTTCCACTTGATCAATTTGGCTATTGGTAACTTGTGTATGCTTCACAACGTTCTTGTGCTGTGTTTTTCAGCTCCATCAGGTCATTTATGTTCTTCTCTAAACTAGTTATTCTAGTTAGCAATTCCTCTAACCTTTTATCAAGGTTCTTAGCTTCCTTGCATTGGGTTAGAACATGCTCCTTTAGCTTGGAGGAGTTTGTTATTATCCACCTTCTGAAGCCTACTCCTGTCAATTCGTCACACTCACTCTCTGTCCAGTTTGTTCCCTTGCTGGCGAGGAGTTGTGATCCTTTGGAGGAGAAGAAGCATTCTGGTTTTTGGAATTTTCAGCCTTTTTGTGCTGGTTTTTCCTCATCTTCATGGATTTATCTACCTTTGGTCTTTGATGTTGGTAATCTTCAGATGGGGTTTTGGTGTGGACGTCCTTTTTGTTGATATTGATACTATTCCTTCCTGTTTGTTAGTTTTCCTTCTAACAGTCAGGCCCCTCTTCTCCAGGTCTGCTGGAGTTTGCTGGAGGTCCACTCCAGACCCTGTTTGCCTGGGTATCATAAGCGGAGGCTGCAGACCAGCAAAGATTGCTGCCTGTTCCTTCCTCTGGAAGCTTCATCCCAGAGGGGCACCAGCCAGATGCCAGCCGGAGCTCTCCTGTATGAGATATCTGTCGACCCCTGCTGGGAGGTGTCTCCCAGTCAGGAGGCACAGGGGTCAGGGACCCACTTGAGGAGGCAGTCTGTCCCTTAGCAGAGCTTGAGCGCTGTTCTGGGAGATTCGCTGCTCTCTTCAGAGGCAGCAGGCAGGAACGTTTAAGTCTGCCGAAGCTGTGCCTACAGCCACCCCTTCCCTCATGTGCTCTGTCCCAGGGAGATGGGAGTTTTATTTATAAGACCCTGACTGGGGATGCTGCCTTTCTTTCAGAGATGCGCTGCCCAGAAAGGAGGAATCTAGAGAGGCATTCTGGCTACAGCGGCTTTGCTGAGCTGCAGTGGGCTCCGTCCAGATTAAACTTCGAGGCAGCTTTGTTTACACTGTGAGGGAAAACCGCCTACTCGAGCCTCAGTAATGGTGGATGTCCCTCCTCCCACCAAGTTCGAGCATCCCAGGTCCACTTCAGACTGCTGTGCTGGCAGCAAGAATTTTAAGCCAGTGGATCTTAGCTTGCTGGCCTCTGTGGGGGTGAGATCCGCTGAGCTAGACCACGTGGCTCTCTGGCCACAGCACCCTTTCCAGGGGAGTGAACGGTTCTGTCTCGCTGGTGTTCCAGTCACCACTGGGGTCTGAAAAAATACTCCTTCAGCTAGCTCTGTTTCTGCCCAAACAGCCGCCCAGTTTTGTGCTTGAAACCCAGGGCCCTGGTGGTGTAGGCACCTGAGGGAATCTCCTGGTCTGTGGGTTGCATAGACCGTGGGAAAAGTGTAGTATCTGGGCCGGAATGCACCATTCCTCATGGCACAGTCCCTCACGGCTTCCTTTGGCTACCGGAGGGAGTTTCCCAACCTCCTGTGTGTTTCCTGGGTGAGAAGACACCCCATCGTGCTTCAGCTCGCCCTCCGTGGGTTGCACTCACTGTCTAACCAGTCCCAATGAGATGAGCCGGGTACCTCAGTTGGAAATGCAGAAATCACCTGCTTTCTGCATTGATCTCTCTGGGAGCTGCAGACTGGAGCTGTTTTTATTTGGCCATCTTGCCAGCCACACCCAAGATTATTCTTTAAAGCATACAATATTTATCACTGAGTAGATAATGACTATTTACTACACCAGCACAATGAATGGTATACTGCCTCATTACTGTTAGTTGTGAATGAAAGTCCCATGCCTATTTCCCACTAGGTCTCCTTTGACATCTCAGAAAGAGGAGACCCTCATTACTTCTGGGCAGGGATGGAATTTCAAGTCCCCAGTAGTACTCTGCAGATACTGGCTGGGAGGGAAAAGGGTGCTTTGCTACTGTTTTTTTCACGTGGCTTCCACTATCACCCTTGAAGAGGGCCTCCTTACCACTAGGCCAGGCTAGAATGAAAGTTCTGGCTACCCACTCAGCTTTCTTTGTCACCACCCTGGCAGTGGAGAGGGAGAAGGGAAGAGGTGCCTTGTTACAGCTTTATGAAGGTAGGAGTCTAGGTTTACCACTTGGCCTGTGCTGTCATGGGTTGGGATGAGACCGTAGGTTTTTATTTTTTTCCATGGTGTTTGACTGAATGCTATGGTTTAAATGTTTGTCCCTTTCAAAACTCATGTTGAAATTTAATTTCCATTTTGATTACATTGGGAAGTGGGACCCTTTTTTTTCTTTTGCGATGGTGTCTCTTTCTGTCACCCAGGCTGGAGTGCAGTTGTGCGATCATAGCTCACCATAGCCTCGAACTCCCAGGCTCAAATGATCCTCCTGCCTCAGCTTCCCTTCACCTCAGCTTGGACGGCAGGTGCATGCCACCACACCCAGCTAATTATTTTATTTTTTGTAGAGACAGGGTCTCTCTTTGTTGCCCAGACTGGTCTTGAACTTCTGGGCTCAAGTGATCTGCCCACCTTGGCCTCCCCAAATTCTGAGATTACAGGCATGAGGGGAGGTGGGATCTTTAAAAGGTATTTAGGTCATGGGGGTTCCACTCTCACGAATGGAGTAATGCCATTATCATGGGAATGGGTTTGCCTCCTCTTGCTCACTTTCTTGCTCCCTCTTGCTCACTGTATCATCTTCTCTTTGCCCTTCCACTATGTGATGCCTTCTGCCATATTATTATGCAGGAAGAAGGCCCTCACCAGATGGCAGCACCTTGATCTCAGACTTCTCAGCTTCCAAAATGGTGAGCCAATAAATTTCTGTTTATTGTAAATTACCCAGTATGTGGTATTCTGTTGTAGTAGCAAAAACAAACTAAGACACTGAAGTAGGGTGATTATTTTCTAAAAGTTTTCCGTCTCGTTAGCCTGCCATTTTCCTGGTCCTTTGGCTAGAGAGAGCAGGTTTTTCTTGAAACATTTTAAGTCTGCAGTCATTGGTGCTTCCTGGTTACAGGGTTCTAATAACCCAATTAAAAATATATGAGGCAAGAATAAAACCATAGAATTTAATACCATGACATTCCTTGGGTCCCAAGTCCCCTAGTTGCTCATTCCCCTTTTCTCCACCTTTTAGAATCTTCACATGTTTTTTTGTATGTAATGTCCAGAGTTGTTAATTGTAGTTAGTGGGAGAAATGTAAAGTAGTGCATCTGCTCTTCCATCTTTTAAATATTACCATTTTAGGCACTGGAGACATTTTGATGCAGCTATTTTGGAATAGCTTCAGAACAGTTATGTTAAAACGTGGGAATACTTTTATTACTAGGTAACGTACACAAGATCATTTTTGCCTCTTACTTCATCCTATCCTTGACCTCCTTGGAAGTGGAAGTTCTTTTATCTCTCTGAAGTAAAGCAGAACTGCTTCAGATAAAATGCGGTCCCTTCTACTTGCAGAAGAGACCTTCTGTTGAATCTTTCTCTGGTTCCTCCTTATATAGTGCCCATTAATGGCTCATCTGATTATCTGAGGAGAAAAGAAATGGCATTTACACCAAGGTGGAAATAGAAATAGAAGTTGGGAGCCTGTAGCATCTGATTTATTCTTGCAACAAATTACTACTTAGCTCTTATACTTATCCTGAAATGGTTTTCATTAGAGTGGAGACAGAGACAGTGATTAGCCGTGAAGTCAATAAATAGTAAATTTTAGTCTAAGGCAACAAAAGTTACTGAAATAATGTCTTCAATGGCAGAGTTTATGATTACCTCAAGATAAGGTAACCTATGGGTAAATGGCTTGCCACTTTTCTGGAAAAGTCATCACTATTGTTCTTGGAATTTTCCTCCCTTCTCTTTCAACATGAAGTGATAGCTTTTGCCACCAGCTCTTAACTTCTGTTGCTCAGGACTCTCAGGTGGAAATCGGACAGAAGACTCAGGACAGAAGACTAGAGACAGAAGAAGCCTACCTAGAGTTATGCAAATTAACTGAGCCTATTGAGTAAATGTTGATTGTATACAATATACAGTACATATATCCTTTAGTTAATACTGTCAAAGTCCATGGAGAGAACCCTCAGATTTAAATGGCAATGAATAAGGAGAGTCTAATATTTGGCTTAATAAACTGACTTACAAATTATGTGATTTTAAATAGATAAATGAGTTTTGAGATGGTATTCCTCAATACATTTTTTTTTGCCTAATTGTTTCCCTTGAGCATTATAACTGTTAAGAGCTGTAATCTTGGAATCAGACTGCATGACTTCAATTTCTAGCTTTGTCATTTAACTATTTGTGAGACTTGGGGCAAATTATCTAAATTTCAGAGGCTTGATTTCTTCAGTGGTAAATTGAGCATCTTGGCAGCACCTATCTCTTAGAGTTATTGTGAGATTTAGCTGCAATAAAAATTATGAATCCCTAGAAAAAGCTGGCCCATTATAAGCATTCAATACATGTTAGCTAAAATAATAAACATTTTTTTCAGAACACATCTAGTTATGTGGATGTATCTCAGCTGCTGACAGCATTTATTGGCCCTTGTTTTCTCCCCTTCTGACCTCTGAATAAGGTGTATAGTTGGATAGTGTCTCAGTTTTCAGGTGCTTCATTGTAGTACAAGGGCCTTAACAAAATTTTGGGCTCATTTTATTATGAAAACTTGTGAGATTGTAAGGAACTTTTTTGTCCAGAAAGTCTGGCCGTCGGTAGGTAATAATTTTAGGGATTTGACCTGGTGTAACAAAAAATCAGGCAAACCAAATAGAAAATGTGGTTGAGATGAAGGTGTCACCCTTCCCTCTCATCTCATTCTGATTTGGGTCTCTTGTGAGACTGTAGACTGAGAATGTATATCTGGGGCTGATATGCCTGTACTTATGTATATCAGTTTCTTACTATTCAGAATCTCCCTTAGGGAATACTGATTCCTATTTACTGCTACTTTTTAATACCATCTGGAATGACTTTTGCTTATCATTGTAACTTAACATCCAAAAATACATTGCATATTTAGCCTTTTTAGCCTTCTTAAAGAGGATATGATGGTTTTCTGAAGAATAATGCCAGATGATAGTACAGTCATGCATCACTTAATGATGTGGATATGTTTTGAGAAATGCATCATTAGGCATTTGTCATTATTGTGTGAACATCAGAGTGTACTTATACAAACATAGATGGTATAGCCTACTACATACCTAGGCTATGTGTTACAAGTCTATTTTTCCTAGGCTACAAAAGTGTAATTGTAACACAATGGTATTTGTGTATCTACATAGATATTTGTGTATCTTGATAGGTAAGGTACAGTAAAAATGCAGTATAAAAAACGTAAAAAATGGTATTTCTATATGGGATATTTACTATGAATGGAGCTTGCAGGACTAGACATTGCTTTGGGTGAGTCAGTGAGTAGTGAGTGAATTTGAAGGCCTAGTACTGTACCCTACTGTAGACTTTATAAACACTGTACACTTAGGCTACACTAAATTTATTATTTTCATTTTTTACAATAAATGTACAATAATATTTTTCTTTCTTCAATAATAAACTTAGCTTACTATAACTTTTTTATTAACTTTTTAATTTTTTTTTTTTGAGACAGTGTCTCACTCTGTCACCCAGGCTGGAGTACAGTGGCACAATCTCGGCTCACTGCAACCTCCACCTGCCGGGTTTAAGAGATTCTCCTGCCTCAGCCTCCTGAGTATCTGGGATTACAGGTGTGCACCATCATGCCCAGCTAATTTTTGTATTTTAGTAGAGACAGGTTTTCACCATGTTGGCCAGGCTGGTCTCAAACTCCTGGCCTCAAGTGATCTGCCTGCCATGGCCACCCAAAGTGCTGGGATTACAGGTGTGAGCCACCACGCCCAGCCACCAGCCAACTTTTTAATTTTTTAAACTTTTTGACTCTTTTGTAATAACGGCTTAAAACACAAACACATTTACAGCTGTACACAAATATTTCATTTCTTTGTATCCTTATTATATAATCTTTTTTTTTTTAACTTTTCAAACTTTTTTGTTAACTAAGAGACAAATACCCATATTAGCCTAGGCCTGCACAGGGTCAGGCTCATAAATATCATTGTCTTTCACCTCTACATCTTGTCCCATTGGAAGGTCTTCAGGGGCAATATAATGCATGGAGCTGTCATCTGTAACGATACCGTCTTCAGGAATACCTCCTGAAAGACCTGCTTGAGGCTTTTTTACAGTTAAATTTTATGTTTTATATGTATAAGGAGTACCTTGTAATGTAATAATGAAAAGTATACTATAGTAAATACATAAAGAACCTAGCTTTTTATTATAATTATCAGGTACTACATGCTGTACATAATTGTGTGTGCTATACTTTTATATAACTGGCAGCACAATAGGTTTATTTACATCAATATCACCAAAAACATGTGAGTAATGCATTGTACTATGACATTATAATGGCTACAAGTCACTAGGCAATAGGAAGTTTTCAGCTCTGTTATAATCTTATTATAATGGAGTTATATATGTGGCCTGCTGTTGACCAAAACATCATTATGCATCACATGACTGTATGTAGCTATAGTTTAAAAAATTATTCTTCATCTTAAGTTTTTAGGAAAATATTTAAAGGTAAATATTTTTAAAAGATGGCAGTAGGGAAAGATGGAAGATATCAGATAAATATATTTTAGTTTGCCAAAATAGCAACATGAAACCAGTTATTTTTTGTGCCAAATTTTCAGTCACTGAATTAGATCGAAGGCTCTATAAAGTGTTTTTTTCCATTACTTATTAATTCACCAAAATTTATTTAGTGCCTACTCTGTGTCAGGTACCTTGCTGGGCTGTGGTTATATTACTGAAAACTAGATGAACAAGAACTCTTCATTCATGGGATTTCAATCTAGTGGGTGTGGAAGGTGAAGACAGAGGATCAAAAAGGTAAACAAATAAGGGTAATTTCAGGATAAGGGTTCTGAAATAAATACCATCCTGTGATAAAAAATACATAGAGGGGAATTACTAGGTAGCATGATTTGGGGAGGCCTCTATAAAGGAAAAACAGTTAAGCTGAAGTTTGAGGATAAGAATGAGATACAAGATATTTAAATAAGATATAAATAAGATATTGAAAAATCTGAGAAGAGAATTCTAGGAATTGGAATGAATAACAGAGAAGAACTTTGAGCATTCTTACAACTGAAAGAAGATCAATAATATTTGAGTAAAGAGCATACTGATACTGTTAATTCTTTAAGTGTTTGGCAGAATTTACCAGTGAAGCCATCTGATTCTGAGCTTTTCTTCATTGAGAGGTTTTTGATTAATAGTTCTATTTCCTTACTTGTTATAGATCTATCCAGATTTTCTGTTTCTTCTTTGGTCGTTTTATTAGTTTGACAATTTATAGAGATAAAATTGTTCATAATCATTTATAATCCTTTTGATTTCTGCAAGTTTTGGAGTAATACCACACTTCCATTTCTAATTTTAGTTATTTGCATCTTCTCTTTTTTCCATAGTCTAGGTACAGACTTGTCAGTTTTGTTGATATTTTTTCAATGAACCAACTTTTTGGTTTCAGTGATTCTGTTTTGTTTTCTGTTCTCTATTTCATGTATTTCTTCTCTAAATTTTATTTCCTTTATTCTGCTAGCTTTCGGTTTAGTTTACTTTTATTTTTCTAGTCTTTAATATGTAACATTAGGTAACTGATTTTGAGATACAGCTTCTATTGTAATGTATTCTATTGTAACATTTAGAGCTATATATAGCACTGCTTTTACTTCCTTCTACAAGTTTTTGGTATGCTGTGTTTTCATTTTCATTTTTATAAAAGTATTCTCTGATTTCCCTTGTGGTTCCTTTCTTGACCCATTGGTTGTGTCACAGTCAAATAAAATATAGAGAAATTAAAACATTTTATTTGGGAAGAAATAATCGTAATTTGGGGCACGCTCACAAACTGGATGGTCTTTGTTATATCTGAAGAACAAAGAGAAGGTTAGAGGTTTTATAAAAAGGATCAATGTTACATATTGCTCTTCAAGAAAGTTCATTGCAATTGGTAAGGTTTGGGGGAGCTGACAAGTTATGATTGGGGAGTGATGGCAATGAGCAAACCAAGTCTTAGAGTTGCAGAAGGTTTTTCAGCAGCCATTAGATAAAACTGGTTTCAAGTTACAGCAGGCAGTTCCAACAGCCAACTTGCTGAGAATTATATTTTTCAAACCACGTTATGTGCCCTGAATGCTTTCTTCCCCAGACCTCTCAACTCTGTTTTAGTTGGGTATGATAAGAATGACCCAATTTGTATAATTGACTTTCACATTTCCCCCTTTCGATCAAGATCTTTCTGTGAAAGCATGGATGATCAACAATTTTGCAGTTAGTTTTAATCGTCCCTTGGCTCTGTGATGGGCCTATCCTGGTTGTCTCTGTCCCAAGTCAGGGGGAAGGTATGGGAGGTGTCTGTCAGGGATCTTGGACGTATTTAAGTAACAAAGAAGCCAGAAGAAAAAGTCTCAGGGTAGGTTTGTTTGGAGTCCAGCATTGAATTCCATCTTATCAG
Organism: Homo sapiens; assembly: GCF_000001405.40. Taxonomy (NCBI): domain Eukaryota; kingdom Metazoa; phylum Chordata; class Mammalia; order Primates; family Hominidae; genus Homo; species Homo sapiens. The sequence goes on from NW_021160027.1 coordinate 319,799, forward strand.
TTTTAGGCATCGGCAATCATCCTGAAGTGTTGAGCTAACATTATCCTGTTAGGAGAATTGGCTTTACACAGATTAGTCAGGCAATGAGGATGAAGTTTAAAAATCATAATATAAACAATTAACAATATAAAAAATTTAGTTTGTACAGTGATTTTGAACTAAGCATCAAGCCTGAGGGCAACAAACTAAACAAATCAATAGACCATTGGGGAAACTGGGTGAGACCCGTTGAGACCGGTAGTATTTTATGATTGGGTTGAATTAAAGCAGAGAATGCCAGCTTTGCAAAAGGAGTCACCAGTACAATTTGAACAAAAAGTTGTCTTAGCGATATTGCCAAAGTTACCCACTAGGTGGACTCAAAGGATTTCTTAGATTGGGTTTTGTCAAGTTACCTATATGGGTTACCGATTGTGAAATCTTAACTACAGAATTATTCTGCCAAGTCAAATAGGCATCATTAAGGGAGGTAAGAGTCTCATTATGATATGGAGTCTTGTTCTGATGTCTTAAGAAAAGTTGTTTACAGCATGGAAAATATCAACCTCTTATCCTTGTTTGCAGTTTGAATGTCTCTTGATATGGCATCAGGCAGCTTGGTGAGCCTTCTGTGTGGCCTATACATCAGGCACAAGACAAGCACTTTAAAATTTATCTAGTTTCAGCTTATAGGGCTTTAGAAACAGAACAGTTTACGTTTCAGTAATGTTTTGGAACAATGTCGGATTGGAGTAACCCAGAAAAATTTAGGATGTAGACTAATCTATAGGTATATAACAAAAACTCAAAAACAGTGTACAGGGTTTTAATCTAATAATAAGTATATTATAGTTTCTCTTTGGAAACATAACTTTTTCCTTTATTAATCACATAGGATTCTCAGATTTACAAGCGTCTTGAGGCTAAGAAGCCAAACCAATGCAGATTTTAGATTTTGTTTACAGTCTTAAGGTCCCCAAGCCTTCCAGGAAGTGACAATATTTATTTATTTACTGTAGGGCTGGGAATACTTGAAGTCAGGCATTTTATGCGTATTTTCAGGCCGAGCACGGTGGCTCATGCCTGTAATCCCAGCACTTTGGGAGGCTGAGGCGGGCGGATCACAAGGTCAGGAGGTCGAGACCATCCTGGCTAACACGGTGGAACCCTGTCTCTACTAAAAATACAAAAAAATTAGCCGGGCGTGGTGGCGGGCGCCTGCAGTCCCCCAGCTACTCGCGAAGCTGAGGCAGGAGAATAGCGTGAACCCGGGAGGCGGAGCTTGCAGTGAGCGGAGATCACGCCACTGCACTCCAGCCTGGGCGACAGAGCGAGACTCCGTCTCTAAAAAAAAAAAAAAAAAAGAAGAAAGACTTCATAAATTATTTTAATTATAGCCAACTTGATCACATACAAAATTCTTTTTATAAATTTTTATTTTATTTTATTTTATTTTTTGAGGCACAGTCTCGCTCTGTCACCCAGGCTGGAGTGCAGTGGTGCAATCTTGGCTCACTGCAAGCTCCGTCTCCCGGGTTCACGCCATTCTCCTGCCTCAGCCTCCCGAGTAGCTGGGACTACAGGCGCCCGCCACCACGCCTGGCTAATTTTTTGTATTTTTAGTAGAGACGGGGTTTTACCATGTTAGCCAGGATGGTCTCGATCTCCTGACCTCGTGATCCGCCCGCCTTGGCCTCCCAAAGTGCTGGGATTACAGGCGTGAGCCACCGCGCCCGGCCTTATACATTTTCTTTACACAAATCTTATTACGATGTTACTCAGAACTTTGAAAACATGGTTGGACTATCCGCTCTGTCTCATATTTCCTCTTCCTTAAATAACCAGTCATTTAATTTTCACACAAAAATATTTACCACAAGATTTTTTCTTACACAAAATTTTCTTTTTCTCAATAATGAACATTTTTATTCCTGTCACACTTTTTTTCTTTTAAAAACATCTCTTTTTGGCACACTTTACATACAGAATTTTATATATTAATTAGAATTTTCAACTCTTGGTAACTTTAAATTTTAGTGGAAACCTAGGAAGTAAGAAATTTTGAGTTATCTGTCATGCATTTGTATTTTATAGATGAGAACAATTTTATAATTTTTAGAAACATGTTTCATTATAACATAAAATTTCCCTTAATTGTAAATGATCCAGACATTTAATGAGTATTATTTTTCAATTTAAAACAACATAACTTTAAGATTTTAAATTACATGAAAAGTTCATTTATAAACATTTATTCCATTTACAGTTATCTAATTTAACAATTATATATAGATTGCCTATGAAAACTTAGATATTAGATGGAGCTAGTTATTTCTTTCAAGTTTTTTTTACTAACCAAGTTTATAGCCTATTACCTGACTTAATAGGCTATAAACTTGGTTATCCATGTATTTAATCAGGTGTTTGCCTGGTTTAGTAGGCTATAAACTTCAGAGTTAAATACGTGGATATCTTATTGTTATCTCAGGAGATGCAACTGTTTTTATTAAATCAACAATATTAAATTTAAGAATATTTATCAAAAAAGTATGCAAAGATCATTCTGTTTTAGGCTGATTTTATAGCTTTATGACCTTTATGTCAAACCCTGACACTTTAAAATATTCGTGAAGTTTATAAGACTGTCTGAATTGTAAACCCAGGAAAAAGTGTACACTAACAATTTTGAAGACTGTTTTACCAATAATTTTAAATCCAAACTATTTGTTAAAGATTTACTTAAGTCATGTGAACTTAAAAAAATTGGTTTAATTACTATATATTTTATGAGTACTCATTTATTTAAACCAATTGGAATAACATTCTTTTAGGGATTTTGGCTAACTACACCAGATTTTATTATGTAGACACAACATACAGCATAATGCATGTATATATGTATAAACACACCTAAATACATATACATATAAATAAAAATCTCATAGCATTTATTTTAGAATTCTAGTCATGAGATAGTAAAATACATCAACTCATCAGTTTATGGAAATCTGTTGGATCCAAATCATTTATCTGATGAAATGTGACAAGGCTAAACTTTAAGATTTTTAAAAATGGCAGTCTTATAAAGGCTGTGAACCAAAATTTGGGTAAAGCAGTTTGAGTCAGTTACCAATATACTGGATTGGACAAAGGACAGTTAACTGTGAAAATGTGACTGAATTATGGGAGGAGGCCCAAAAGATAAGAGTTATTCTAACAGAGTCTATACAGTATTATTTTTTGGTCTCAATTCTTTGTCCTTGAAGATAAGAATGTTGCCATTCCCCTTAGTATAGGATACATTTGTCTTCACATGGGAATTTCTTTTTTTTTTTTTGCAAAGGAAACAGCATGAAGATCAAAATGATTTTTTTATACCTGCTGGTTTTCAAGTGTTTTACTTAAATAGTATGTTAGAATAGCTCAGGAGTTTTGGAAAAAGAGAGTTTATCTTAGAGAAGCATAAAGAGAAATTTTAAGAAGGGGAGGGGAAAACTGCAGAGAGGAAAGAGTTCAGCCAGCTTTGAGACAGTATTTTGTATGAGACAATCTTTGAGTTCTGAATGATTTTCTCTCTTTTATCAGATCTCAGTGAGATATGCGTATCTTATTTGGAGTATATGCTTTTATAGCCATGATCTTTTGGTTTAGTTTTAAGAACAGCAGACTGAATGATTCCTATAATATTTGAACATGAGTCCCAGAAAATATCTTGGCATGCCTTTGAATTTTGAGAGCCCATTTTGTGAGTGCTCTGATTTAATACCAAATACACAAAAGCCAATTAAATGCAAGAGCTGAATACTCAATGACCAAATAAACTCAAGCACAGACAGAAAATAAAGTATACGCTTACCAAGAATAATGGTAAGTTGCCTTCTCCAACTGAAGGGAAAAGGAAAGATCCCTTCACCAAGGTCTCAACCTGAAGGGGAAAAAAATCCCTTAGCCCAGATTCCAAAGCCAGGGTCTCCAAGGGGAAGAGTACTCTTGAATAGTAGCTCTCCCAAGTAGATCAGGCATAAAGGAGAAAAAAACCCTCCCCATCCAAGTCCTAAATAAAACAGAACTCAACCCAAATCAGGAATTCAGTGCAAGAGAGACTTGCCAAGGGGAAAAGAGGCAATCTGCAGAAGTGGGGGGATCATAGGGCCCCAGTGTGCGTTCCTTATGCTGTAGTTCCAAGGGCTGGTGATTTTTCTCCAAGGTTAGACAGCTTTGGACCCCACTTCTGTCAAGTATGTCAAAATCAAATAAAATATGAGATAAATCTCTGAAATTAAAACATTTTATTTGGGAAAAAAGAATCCCAATTTGGGGCATATGTGCTGACCACGTACGTGGTCTCTGGTATGTCTAAAGAATAAAGAGAAGGTTAGAGGTTTTATAAAAAAAAAAAGAGAAATGTTATGTATTACTTGTCAGGAAAGTTCGTTGACACTTAGTAAGGTTTTGGGATGCTGGAAAACTCTGATTGGTGAGTGACAGCAGTGGGTAAAACCAGTCTTAGAGTTGCAAAAGTTTCTTTAAATAGCCATTAAATAAAACTGATTTCAAGTTACAGCAGGCTTGCAAAGAATTACATTTTTTGGAGCAATGTTGTGTGCCCTGAGTGCTTTTTTCCCCTTGAGCTCTCAACTCTGTTTTAGTTGGGTATGACAAGAGTGACCAAATTTATATGATTAATTTGCACAGTTGTTTAAGAATATGTTGTTTAATTTTCACATATTTATGAATTCTCCAATATTCTTTCTGTTATTGATTTCTGGTGTCATCCCTTTGCTGTCAGACAAGATGCTTTGTATGATTACAATATTTTAAAATTTACTGGGATTTGTTTTGTATCCTAACATGCAATAAATTTTGAAGAATATTTTACATGCACTTGAGAAGAATATGTATTCTACTATTGTTTGGTAGAATGTCTATCTGTCTGTTGGATATTTGGTCTATAGTGTTGTTTAAGTCCTGTATTTTTAAATTGATCTTCTGTCTAGATGTTCTATCCATTATTGAAAATGAGACATTGAAGCCTCCAAGTATTATGGTAGAACCAAGTATTATTATCTGTTTATCTTTTCAATTCTGTCAATAATTGCTTCATGTATTTTGGGGCCCTTTTGTTGGTACACTTATATCTATAATTGTTATATCTTCTTGATTCATTTATTAGTATATAATCTCTTTTTTGTCCCTTGTAACAGTTTTTGGCTAAATATCCATTTTGTTTATTAATATAGCCACTTAAGCTCTCTTCTGTTTATTTACTGTTTGCATGGAATATATTTTATTTCATTCTTTTTTTTTTTTTTTTTTTTTGAGATGGAGTCTCACTCTGTCGCCCAGGCTGGAGTGCAGTGGCGCGATTTCGGCTCACTGCAAGCTCTGCCTCCCAGGTTCACACCATTCTCCTGTCTCAGCCTCCCGAGTAGCTGTCATTCTTTTACTTTCAACTTATTTGTGTCTTTGGGTCTAAACTGAGTCTATTGTAGACAGCATACAGATGAATCATTTCTCTTTTTTGAGAGAGAGTATTTTTTATTTTATAAATTGATATACAGTAATTGAACATGTTTATGAGGTACATATGATATTTTGATAAAGGCACATAATGTGTAATGATCAATCAGAGTATTTACAATATTCATCACCTGAAACATTCATCATTTCTCTATGTTGGGAATATTCAAATCTCTTCTTCTAGGTATTTAGAAATATACAATAAATTATTGTCAACTATAGTCACCCTATTGTGCCACTGATCACCAGAAATTACTCCTTCTATTCAACTGTGTGTTTGTACCTATTAACCAACCCCCCTCATCCCTCCTCTGCTTCCTTGCCTCTGGTAACATTCTACCTTTTACCTCCATGAGATCAACTTTTCTAGCTCCTGTATATGAATGAAAACATGTCATTGAATCATTTTTCTTAATCCACATTGCCAATCTGTGTCTTTTAATTGGTGAGTTTAACTCATTTACATTTAAAGTGATTATTGATATGGAAGGACTCATTTCTGTCATTTTGCTATTTGTTTTCTATATTGCTTATATAACTTCTGTTCTGCAATTTCTCCAATTCTGCCTTCTTTTCTGTATTTTTCCTATTATACCCTTTGATGCCCTCATCATTTCCTTTTGTATATTATTTTAGTTATTTTTTAATTGGTTACTTTGAGAATTGCAATTAAATAGTCAGTGGAGCATACAGATCTGGGGAAAGTCAGGGGTGGAGAAATAAATTTGAGAATAATTGGTGTATACATGGTATTTATATCTGTGGGGCTAGATGAGGTATTTTAAAAAAGAATATAGCCAGAGAAGAGCAGAAAATGCAGTAGCAACCCCTGAGATCTTTAAATAACCTTCCCTTTGATGGATAATTTTGAATTTTCCCCTCAAGTCTTGTGAATAGGCAACATAACTTGTCACTTGTGTATCTTCACTGGTCCTCACTGGTTCTCTCAAGCACTGAGAACTGCTTTTCTGTGTTAGCTGAGTATTAGAATGGGATGAGTCCTATTTTTTCATTTCCGAAGATTTCTTTCAATTTCTTCATTTTCTTGAAAAGTCTTTATTTGCCTATTAATTTCAAGATCATTTTCTTTCCAGCCTCTCACTGATCTCCTTAATTTTTTCCTTGAATATCATTTGTCTAGAAAAAGTGACAAATCCTCTGTTTGCATTTTGTGATTCTTTAGATGGGTCTGATGAGGACAAAGATTTGTGCTAATGAAGTCAAGGATGTGCATGTAAACCACAACACATCTTATTCTTTAGCCACAGCTTGCACTACTGATTTGACCAGCTTCCTCTCAAACGCGTATCTTTAATCACAATGGTTGAGGGAAAGTGGAGATGATTGTTATGGAGAAACAACTCTGCATTTACATTTTGTTGAAGCAAGGCCAGGATTGTTACCTTTATATCTGAATGATGCTACATTCTGACCCTTAAAACATAGTCTCTGTTTGTAGGAGGAAATTGGGTTATGGATAACCATGCCATGCATACACTGAAAGTTTTAAAATATATATAATAATAAAAGCTAATTGAACATAGCTGCCACTTGCTTTTTGCCTGATGTCTAATTCCTGCTATTTACTGTATGCAGTCTGTTTTATCCTTGCCTCTCCCAGCTGATTGTCACCTGAAAAACAGATCTCTCACTGTTTGACTTTTATATCTGAGAATCAGAGAATTGGCAAGTTGATATTCTGAAATCCCCATTAGAAAAAGCAGAATGGGGAAGGTGGGAGGCAGTGCTTGAGAGTGGAGCAGAAGCATTTCCCAACATAGTTGCAATATCATGTGAGCAATGTGGATAACATGACTCCTAAATTTTGAATGGGGCCTTTGGAGAAAACTTAGTCTTCCTTGTACTATTCCCTTCATCCTGCCTTCTGTCTCTGCCAAATTTATAGAAGCTGGAAAACATATTTTCCAAACTAATTGAGTTTCTAATCACCTCACCAGGGCAACCCCATCATTGCCTAGACATACGCTGCATGTAGTCCTTTTGAGAACCCACGTGTTTGTTAAAGAAGTCCACATGAGTTTTCTGTGGGGTTTTAATAGCCTTCACAGAGAAGGAGTTCATATGTTATTATTAGGGTTAGGAGGGGCTCAGGGTTGACCCAGAATCCTTGTTTACTTGAGAAAGAATGGTAAATGACAATACTCATATCAGAGCTTCTTAGTCTGGGTTTTGTTGATGATCTGTGGGGAGTCTGTGAACCTTCATAAATTGAATGCAAAATATGATGTGTATGTGTATTTTTCTCCCCAGGAGACAGCATTCATAGCATTCATCAGGTTTTCAGAAAATTGCATAGCCTCCTTTGTACCTCTGTGAGCCCTTGCCTTTCTTGATTTGTTAGGTAAATCCAAATATTGCTGTATTTACTTTTTAAATTTCATGAAAATACTGTGAAAATAAATAGATTAAAATGAGATTTTAAGAAAAAGAGACATCCTCAATTAGCATTAAAACTCATAACCTGCTTGCTACTCTATCATACTGGTAACTGATGACCAACCTCAACTGTTAAGATAACTGCCAGCCCATGAAATCAACCATATTAAATGGCACACCGTGTCGATTGCAAAAGGGTGCCGCCCTGAGCTAGCTGGTGGCTGGAGACACTCTCACTGCTATTGAGTGATTGGTGTGGCAATGGCTCCAGACCAAATTATGAGGGAGAAATGAAAGAATGAATGTTGCAGTGGTTTACTACCAGGTACTGTGCTACATATTTTTATAAACTAAACTCAACTTTTGTAATCATCTTTTGAGGTAAATATTGATATCCTAATTCTATAGGCCTATAATAGTGAAATGATTTGCTCAAGGTCTTAGTCAAGTGTCAGAGCTGAAACAGAATCCTCATATTTCTGCCATTGCCTGAAGTCTTATAGGAGCCTGGCATCCAGGTATGGAAAGGGCATCCCAAGGGGTGTTTGAGCCAGACTCTGAAGTTTGAGCCTGAGAAGTAATTCACTTCCCACACCTTTAAAAGAAGTGGGTGGTCTGTGCTCTAGGGTGACTCAGTGGCTCCAGCAAGTGCAAGTCCTGTTGCTGGGGAGGCCACTGTTGTGTCCCCTTAAGTAGCTCTAAGTCTTGATTCTGTTTGTATGTCCTCTAAATAACACTGACATTAGCCTACATGGAAACTACCTCCTCAGGATTCTGAAGTGCTATACGAAGAGCTAAGAGAGAGCATTGTCTAAAGTCATATGACAGGACTGGAATTTGTCTGGTGAACAAAGTTTCACAATCATAACACCCTTTACTCCCACAGCAAACAGAATGTTTTCTTTGTGAAGGAAGCAAGCAAATATTCCATTTTCAGAATAATGATGCTGTTTAAAGGGACAGTGCCGGAAGTTTAGCTCTTGATTTCCTTCTGTGCATTTCATGCTATCAGAGGAGAAAATGCAGGCTTCCAGATGCATATTCTTGAAAGCACTGAAAGGAAAATTTGTGTTTCTATTAGTTGAGCAGATTCATGTGGGCTTTATTAACAATCTAATAAGATGACTTTTCAAAGTGTGGTCCACAGCACCCCTGACATTAGAATCACCTTAGTGCTTATATAAAAGGTAGATTCATGGACTCCACCCTAGACCTACTAACTCAGAATCTCTTGTACTGGGGGGATGGGGCTCAGGAATACGTGTTTTTAGCTACTCCTCTGGAGATTTTTATGTACACTATATGTGTTTTTAGCTACTCCTCTGGAGATTTTTATGTACACTAAAGTCAGAAAATCACTGCATTGGAAGTTCAAACCCCATGATAAACTGAGTTAATTTTGCTATAATGACATTTGGCTAAAATGAATCTACTACTTACATTCTTGGAGAGAAAATCAAGTTAAATACAGCTTTTCTGAAGTGAATTTGCACAAAAAAAGAGTAGAAAAAATGTGGATAGGAGCTTTACTCTCTTCAAGAGCCTGAGACACTCCAGAGGTCATAACTAGTATCATATCTTAAAACAAAAAGAGGCACACTTGAAAAGACTGATATCTGCAGCTATATTGGCCTAACTGGGTTGAGGCAGGCACAGATCCAGCTGCAGAGTTTAGGAGGAAGTTCACAGTACAACACGCAGTGCAGGTTAGCCCTAAACATGCAAACAGACGGTATGTCAGAGTCTAGGCCAGTAGTTTACTGTGTGTGAGTGTACATGCATGTGCGTTTCTATGTCTGTGAGATGGATTGAGGCAATTGCAATGACAAATTAGTAGTAAAGAATACAGTAAAGTCTCTCTTATATGATCAGGACTAGAGTTAACTAATCAAAAAATCAATTACATCAGGGAATTGTAAATACATATATTTAAATATCTAATTTTAACTTAAAACATTCATTTGAAAGTTTTATATACTATTTATTCTCTATCAAATACAATGCCCCCAAATATCCTGATATTAGCCATACTTCTTGTCTTCTGTCTGAAGTTGTGACTCTTCAACTGCCCCAATGGTACTGAACCCCACCGCTAGAATGACTCATATGATCGAGTATGAAAGAACAGTTTTGTTTGCAGTCCGGAGCCAAGCTTCTGTGGGGAGTTCTAGATGATAATTCTAACTAGGACAAGTGTGGGCCCTCTGTTCCCCAGAGAGGAAACAGTGTATCCATGGAGAAAGCTAATGACAAATTCCTTACCTTTTTTTGGAATACAAAGGGATAAATTTCTTTCTAATTTATCTATGATGATACACGTATATAAAAGAACAGGCAAACAAGTAAGCAAGTGAGCAGGCAGTGTTTCCAAATTAAGGGGCTTTAATCAGGAAACCACCACATGTTAGTCATTTCACTTAATGAAACTCAGTAACCTTCAACTACCTTTTTATTTATTTAACAATTTTTATATTTAATTTTTGTGGGTGAGCAGTAGGTGTGTATATTTATAAGGTACACAAGATATTTTGATGCAGGCATAGAGTGTGTAATATTCACATCAGGGTAAATGAGGTATCCATCACCTCAAGCATTTATCCTTTCTTTGTGTTACAAGCAATCCAATTACACTCTTAGTAATTTTAAAATGTACAATTAAGTTATTATTGACTATAGTCACCCTGTTGTGCTATCAAATAGTATGTCATTCATTCTTTCTATTTTTTTTGGTACTCATTAACTACTCTTACCTCCACCCCAGCCTCCTATTACCCTTCCCAGCCTCTGGTAACCATTGTTCTACTCTCTATCTCCATGAGTTCAATTGTTTTCATTTTTAGCTTCCACAAACAGGTGAGAACATGTGAAGTCTGTCTTTCTCTGCATGGCTCATGTCACTTAACAAAATAGTCTCCAGTTCCATCCATGCTATTGTGAGGGAGGAGAAAGGAAAACAAACAAAGAAACAAACAACAACAACAACAACAAAAAACAGACAGTTAAGGCAGGTCCTTGGTAGAATTCTTTTAAACAGAGAAACAGCTTGAAAAATAAAGCTGCAGCTGCACAGATAAGAGAGCAAGTCCCAACATAGAAACGCCTTTGTTCTTTGTGTAATCAGCGGGCACCCAGGAAAAAGTTTCCTCCCCTTCTACGGACATGTACATGGTGGGTTCCGCACAAATTTGCACGGGTAGCGGGAGGCTTGCCTGAGAAATGCCTGTGACCGCATGGGTAAGGGCAGTCACACAGGCAGCTACACAGACAGGGGAACTTTCTAATAAAAGCTTTTGTGTTCAACTGTAAAACAGCAACCCTCTTGGACCCCCTCTCTGCTGTGGAGAGCTTTCCTCTTTTGCTTATTAAACTTTCACTCCAACCTCACTGTTGGTGTATATGCTCCTTGTTTTTCTTGGTCATGACACAAAGAACTCTGGATAACACCTCAGACAGTGAGGCTGCTTCAATTGCAAATGACAAGATCTCATTCTTTTTATGGATGAGTAGTACATATATACTCTATATTTGTAGTATATATACACGTGTGTGTGTGTGTATCTATATACATATCACATTTTCTTTATCCATTCATCTGTTGATGGGCACTTAGGTTGCTTCCAAATCTTGGCAATTGTGAATAGTGCTGTGATAGACATGGAAGTGCAGATATCACTTAGATGTACTGACTTCATTTCTTTTGGGTACATACTTAGCAGTGGGATTACTGGATTATATGGTAGATCTATTTTTAGTTTTTGAAGAAACTGTTCTCCACAGTGGTTGTACTAATTTACATTCTCACCAAGAATGTAGGAGGGTTCCCTTTTCTCCAGATTCTCACCAGAATTTGTTATTGCCTGTCTTTTGGATAAAAGCCATTTTAACTGGGATGAGATGATATCTCATCATAGTTTTGATTTGCATTTCTCTGATGATCAATGATGTCGAGCACCTTTTCATATGCCTGTTTGCCATTTGTATGTCTTCTTTTGAGAAATGTCTATTCAAATCTTTTGCCCATTTGAAAATTAGATTTTTAGATTTTTTTTCTGTAGAGTTGTTTGAGCTTCTTATATATTCTGATTATTCATCCCTTGTCACCTGGATAGCTTGCAAATATTTGTGATCCCATTTATCTATTTTTGCTTTGGTTGCCTGTGCTTTTGGGGTACTACTCTACTCAACAAATCTTTGCCCAGTCTAATGTTCTGAACCTTTCTGCCATGTTTTCTTTTATTAGTTTTGTAAATTAAGGTCTTAGATTTATGTTTTTAATCCATTTTGATTTATTTTTGTATATGGCAAGAAACAAAGGTCTAGTTTCATCCTTCTGCATATGGATACCCAGTTTTCCCAGCACCATTTATTGAAGGGACTGTCTTCTCCCCAATGTATGTTCTTGGCACCTTTGTTGAAAATGAGTTCAGTGTAGGTGTGTGGATTTGTTTCTAGGTTCTCTATTCTGTTCCATTGGTCTATGTGTCTATTTTTGTGCCACTACCATGCTGTTTTTGTTACTATAGCTCTGTTTAATGCCTCTTGAGTTCAAGTGACTCTCCTGCCTCAGCCTCCAGATTAGCTGGGATTACAGGCATGCGCCACAATGCCGGGCTAATTTTTTTTTTCTTCTTTTTAGTAGAGACGGGGTTTCTCCATGTTGGTCAGGCTGGTCCCGACCTCAGGTGATCTGCCCACTTCAGCCTCCCAAATGCTGAGATTAAGGCATGAGCCCCTGCGTCTGGCCCTAATTATTAAATATCTTTAGGTAGTCTTCTTTGGGCTGAATCTGCTTGGTGTTCCATAACATTCTTGTACTTGAATATTGATGTCTTACTCTAGGTTTGGGAACTTCACTGTTATTATCCCTTTGAATAAACTTTCTACCCCTATCTTTCTCTCTACCTCCTCTTTATGTCCAATAACTCTTAGAGTTGCTGTTTTCAATCTATTTTCTGGATCTTGCAGGTGTGCTTCATTCTTTTTTTTTTGTCTCCTCTGAATGTATTTTCAAATAGCTTGTCTTCAAGCCCACTAATTCTTTCTTCTTCTTGATGAGTTCTGTTTTTGTGACTCTGATGCATTCTTCAGTATGTCAGTTGCATTTCTCAACTCGAGAATTTGTTTGATTCTTTTAAATTTTTTCAGTCTGTTTGTTAAATTTAACTGATAGGTTCCTCAATTACTACTCTGTATTATCTTGAATTTCTTTGAGTTTCCTCAAAACGGCTATTTCAAATTATCTGTCTGAAATGTTATGTATCTCTGTCTCTCCATGATTGGTCTCTGGTGACTTATTTTGTTCATTTTGTAAGGTCATGTTTTCCTGGATGGTCTTGATGCATGTGGATGTTTGTTAGTGTTTGGGCACTGAAGATTTACCTATTGATTTTAATCTTCATGACAAGTCTAGGCTTGTTTGTACCTATCCTTCTTAGGAAGACTTTCCAGGTACTGAAATGGACTTTGGTGGTTGTAATATACATTTCTGGTCTCTGCAGCTGGAACTGTATTGGGAGCTATCTCAAGCTCAGCAATGCTGTGGCTCTTGTAGACTCACAGGTGTACCCACCTTTGTGGTCTTGGATAAGATTTGGAAGAATTCTCTGGGTTACCAGCCAGAGACTCTTGTTCTCTTCCCTTATTTCTCCCAGATTTTCTCTCTCTGTGCTGCACTGCCTGGAGCTGTGGATGGGGTGACACAAGCACCCCTGTGGCCACCACCACTGGGACTATGGACCTGAAGCCAGCACAGTACTGGGTCTTGTGCAAGACCCACAGTCTGTACTGCCTGGCTACTCCCTATATTTGCTGAAGGATCTAGGGCTCTACAGTAGGCAAGTGGCCAAGCCAGTCAAGCCTGTCTCTTTCCCTTTAAGGTGGCAAGTTCCCCCAGGTCTGGGTGGATCCAGAAATGCTGTCCAGGAGCCAGGGCCTGGAGTCAGAAGCCTTAGGAATCTACCTGGTTCTCTATTCTACTGCTGCTGCACTGGCACCCAAGCTACAAGACAAGTTTCTTCCCACTCTTATCTTCCCTTTTCACAAGCAGACAACTCTTTCCCATGGCTACCATTGCCCCAGGCTTGTGGTGAGTACTGCCTAGCTCCTGGCAATGCTCATTCAAGGAGCAAGGGCTCTTCAGTCAGCTTATGGTGAATGCTTCTAGGCCTTGGACTCTCTCATCAGGGCAGTGATCTCCCCTCTGGCCTAGGGAAGGTCCAGAAATGCCATCTAAGAGTCAAGGCCTGGAATCAGGGACCCCAAGATTCCACTTGGTTCTGTATCCCACTGCAGCTGAGCTGGTACCTAAGCTGCAACACAAAGTCCCCTTTACTCTTCCCTCTCCTTTACTCAAGCAGGAGTCTCTGCCCATACCCACCATAGCTGGGAATATGCTGGGTCACACCTGAAGCCAGCGTGTCTCAGAGTCTCACCCACGGCCCACGGCCTGGGTATTGCTGCTGATTATTCAGCGCCCAAGGGCTCTTTAGTCAGCAAGTAATGAATGTTGCCAGGACTGGGTTCTTCCCTTCAGGGCAATGGGTTCCCTTCAGGCCCAGGGTGTGTCTAGAAATGTTGCCCAGGTGCTAGGGCCTGAAATGGGGGCCTCAGGACTCTGCCTGGTGCCCTGTCCTACTGTAGCTGAGCTGATATCCAAGTTGCAAGATGAAGTCCTCTTTGCTCTTCCCTCTCCTCTCCTCAAGCAGAAAGAGGGAGTCTTTACCAGAGCTGTGAGCTGTGCTTCCTGGTTTTGGGGGAGGCGTGGTGCAAGCACTCCCTTGGGTGCCCTGGCTGGTGTCTCACTATGTCACGTGCCCCCAAATCCACTGGCTCTGAGCCCAGCACAGCACTAGGACTTGCCCAATAATAGAGTTTAAAAAAACATGCACATATATGTTCATATGTTCAATTTATTTTTGACAAAACTGCCAAAGTAATTCCTGGAGAAAGGATAGCCTTTCAGCAACTGGTACTAGAAAAAATAGATAACCATATGGGAAAAAATGGACACTGACCATTACCTCACATCATACACAATGTTTACTTTAAATTGATTGTAGAATTAAACACAACTAAAATTATAAAAATTTCTAAAATAATCCATAGGATAAATTTTTTTTTTTTTTGAGATGGAGTCTCACTCTGTCACCCAGGCTGGAGTGCAGTGGCGCGATCTCAGCTCACTGCAAGCTCTGCCTCCCGGGTTCATGCCATTCTCCTGCCTCAGCTCCCCGAGTAGCTGGGACTAAAGGAGCCCACCACCATGCCCGGCTAATTTTTTTGTATTTTTTTAGTAGACACGGGGTTTCACCGTGTTAGCCAGGATGGTCTCGGTCTCCTGACGTCGTGATCTGCCCGTCCCAGCTTCCCAAAGTGCTGGGATTACAGGAGTGAGCCTCCGTGCCCGGCCAGGAGAAAATCTTTACAGCCTCGCACTAAACATAAAAAACGACAAATTCTGCTCTTCAAAAGGAAAATTAGAAGGCAGTTCACAGGCAGAGAGAAAATATTTGCAATACATACATCTGATAAAGGGCTTTTATCCATAATATATAAATGACTATTATATCTTAGTAAGAAGACAAGCAATACAATATTAATGGGAAAAAGATTTAAACAGACACCTCACGAAAGGAGATATGAATAGCCATTAAGCACTTTAAAAGATGTTTAACATCATTAGTCAACAGAAGGATGCAAATAAAAAACACAATGAGATACCAGTCTATACCCACTGGAATGACTAAAACTAAAAAAGACTGATAATCTCAGGTTTTGAGGAAGATGCAGAACTACTGGAACTCATATATTGTTGGTGAGTGTGTAACATGGTACAGTCAGCCATCTTGGTAGTTTTTGTTTTTTTACAAAGGTCAATATACTTTTATATTACCCAGAATTTTGGACTTCTATCTCCTTATACATTGCAAATAAAAGGAAACATATGGTCACAAAATAACTTACACATGAATGCTCTTAATAGCTTTATTTATTATTGTCCCAAACTGGAAGTCAATAAAAATAGCTATCAACATTTAAAAGAACAAAAAATGTAGTACATTAATGCAATGGAATATTACTTCATAATAAAAGGAGTAAACTACTGATGCAGCAAACTACTACATGCAACAACATGGGTTGATTTCAAAACACATTGAACAAAAGAAACCAGACGCCAAACAATACATATTGTATAATTCCATTAAGATGAACTACTGGAACAAGCAAAACTGATCTATAGTACCAGTGGTTGTCTGAGGCCAGTGATGAGTTAGGGAATGACTACAAAGCTGCTACAGGGAACTTTTTGTTGTACAGAAATATTCTATGTCTTGATTGTGGTAGATACGCTAGTATCCACATTTGTCAAGACTTATTTAACTTTACACTTAAGTGGGTGCATATTACTCTGAGAATTATACTCCAATAAAATTAATTTTAAAAAGAAAGCAATGCTGATTTGAATTATTTATGGGTAAATGGGGCTTATCTCTTCTTAAGCATACAGTTCAACTGGTGGGAACTGAAGTGTGAATACATCCTAGAGCATATCGATGTGCTTTTAGCATGCTGAGGGTATCAGTATGTTTTCCAGATGAAACTAAGGGTTTCACTTAACCTCATTAGTGTCACTAAAGTAGAGTTTGATTAAATTAGCTAGAAAATCTAGGCAGCTATTGAGCAGCCTGCAACAAGTGAATTCAGCAGATCACTGTGTTTCAGGATTTTAGCCCCTGGGCTAGAGGTCTAGGGAAAAACTTTTGTCCTGAGGTACATGGCTGGTGGTGGGGGAAAATGACTAAACCAAATCTCTTGCCAATCCAGTAAAATATCTTCACAGAATGTAGAACAGAATGAAATATAATGAATAAGCATTAAACCAGACCATGATGCACATCACAGGCAATACCCTAAAGAGATTACAAAGACAAAAAAGAACTCTTGCCCTTTTGTTTTATGTATATGTTAATCTATTGTATACATGTTAATTGTATTTATCCAAAGGAAAAATACAATCTCTCATATATTTTTGATAAGCAGGAGGTTATATCTTGGAGCTAAATTTCCACAGGGAAAGAGAGCACCACCTGTTTTAGTGTTCACTTTTAAAAGAAGTGGCTCCTTGGCCATTAAGAATGACAACCCCATCAAAAAGTGGGCAAAGGAGATGAACAGACACTTCTCAAAAGAAGACATTTATACAGCCAAAAAACACATGAAAAAATGCTCATCATCACTGGCCATCAGAGAAATGCAAATCAAAACCACAATGAGATACCATCTCACACCAGTTAGAATGGCAATCATTAAAAAGTCAGGAAACAGCAGATGCTGGAGAGGATGTGGAGAAATAGGAACACTTTTACACTGTTGGTGGGACTGTAAACTAGTTCAACCATTGTGGAAGTCAGTGTGGAGATTCCTCAGGGATCTAGAACTAGAAATACCATTTGACCCAGCCATCCCATTACTGGGTATATACCCAAAGGACTATAAATCATGCTGCTATAAAGACACATGCACACGTATGTTTATTGCGGCACTATTCACAATAGCAAAGACTTGGAACCAACCCAAATGTCCAACAACGATAGACTGGATTAAGAAAATGTGGCACATATACACCATGGAATACTATGCAGCCATAAAAAATGATGAGTTCATGTCCTTTGTAGGGACATGGATGAAATTGGAAATCATCATTCTCAGTAAACTATCGCAAGAACAAAAACCCAAACACCGCATATTCTCACTCATAGGTGGGAATTGAACAATGAGATCACATGGACACAGGAAGGGGAACATCACACTCTGGGGACTGTTGTGGGGTGGGGGGAGGGGGGAGGGATAGCATTGGGAAATATACCTAATGCTAGATGACGAGTTAGTGGGTGCAGCGCACCAGCGTGGCACATGTATACATATGTAACTAACCTGCACAATGTGCACATGTACCCTAAAACTTAAAGTATAATAATAAAAGAAAAAAAAAGAATGACATTCCTAGGATGCAAAACTGGCAAGAAGTTTATTTATAATTCCATTTTCTGAAGGAAATGCTGAAAGAAAAGGGAGGGGGAATAGTTCTTTCCTTTTTGCACTGAGGAAAATTTTAAATTAAAATTCATTTTTAGATTTGTATTTACCCTTACAATTTTCCTTGTTAC
Source organism: Homo sapiens (assembly GCF_000001405.40). Classification (NCBI taxonomy): domain Eukaryota; kingdom Metazoa; phylum Chordata; class Mammalia; order Primates; family Hominidae; genus Homo; species Homo sapiens. The sequence goes on from NW_021160027.1 coordinate 337,861, forward strand.
TATTTTCTACTAAAACTACAGTTTTCCAATTGTTTACTCTGACATTTTAACCTTTCTCTGGGCAGTTTGCAGCAGTCTTTAGATATTTATATCCAGCAAGTCCATGGTAAAATACAAAATAAAGCAATTATCAGAATTATAATGGGATGAATCAAAAATTAGTACAATATTTTTCTTGGGGGAATCTTTAAATATACCAGTTGTGAATGGTTAAAGCAGATATTTGATTAGCCATACACAAAAATTATCCTCATGATACATTAATTTTATAAACTGTTGTCATGTCTTTGTTTCTGCTTTCAAATGATTAACTACTTGAGTATTATTTTGTAGTTTTAGAAAATGAAATCTGGCCAGGCACAGTGGCTCACGCCTGTAATCCCAGCACTTTGGGAAGCTGAGGCCAGCGGATCATGAGGTCAGGAGTTTGAGACCAGCCTGACCAACATGGTGAAACCCTGTCTCTACTAAAAATACAAAAATTAACCTGGCGTGGTGGAACATGCCTATAATCCCAGCTACTCAGGAGGCCGAGGCAGGAGAATCACTTGAACCCAGGAGGCGGAGGTTGCAGTGAGCTGAGATCGCACCACTGCACTCCAGCCTGGGCTATTGAGTGAGAATCCATCTTCAGAAAACAAACAAACAAACAAAAAAGAAAGAAATCCCTATCCTAGCCGAGTTAATAGCTTAACTCTGGAGCCTGATAATATATGTTTTTTAACTGAGTTTTTCTTGTAAGGCCCAATGAATTTCCTCTGAGTTCTCAGCAGTCACAGGAGTAATATTGCATTTATAGGATAAACTAGGCCTTTTGGTAATTATCCCATCTTCCCAAATAATTTCTCCCAGATGCAAAATGCAAAGACACTCGTGGCCATTATATAGTATCAAAGTCTTATTATGAAGTACCCGTTGAAGGGCACAGATTGAATTTCCAGTGTTTAGTGTACATGGCTCTAATAGTTTTAAGTCTGGAGGACAAAGCCAACTTTTGGGCCATTTCTTACCTCGGTCCAAACCAGTAGTTATATTATTATAACAGTTAACTAAATAACCATAGATAACAGGCATATCCACCTTTGTTTATCTATCCATAGTAGGACTGGAGAAAACTTCTATTCTCAAGTTAATCGATTGACATTAGAGCTGTCTTCTGAGGTCTCTATCCATAAATGCCAGACACTTAATTAGATGCATTTCTTTTCTATACTATACTTCCAATCAAACCAGTTAACAAATTTTTTTGTGTGAAATTTAGGGCTTTGGTTTCTGGATGCATAGTAGTTACTTTTACTTTGATATTAAAACATAGTAATGAACATGGTCTTGTGTTTATTTGGCCAATAATCAGACTGTTGGATTCATAAATGCAGGCCCAGCATTTCTGTACTGGGAATACAATTCAGAGGAGAGAGGAAATGTGACTGTAGGAACCATTATTGGGAGTACAGAAAGAAAAAGTGGTGTAACAAATAACATGTTTATTTTCTAATAAAATGTGATTCTTATAGTAATTGAACAAAACACTATTGCAACTAGGACAGCAAGGTAGTCAGAATAATACATTCCTTAGAATACCTCCTTTCAGTTGAGTTCATTACCAATATTAGTCACTCTAGGAAATTAAACTTCAAATCCTTTGTGGAAACTGCAGTCTAGTCCTCCTGAGGAGCTGGCTTCACATGGAAAGCATGAAACCATCTGGTTTTTCTTTCACTCTGATACCCATATGAGTGATCGTGGCACTTGAAAGGGTCCCATCCAGCCTGGTGACAATGCATGTTTCCTCCAGAACACTCATATTTAAACAAAATTGCCCAGTTTAATAGGGGTGATATTTCTTCCAGTAGTTCCTTCTAGGTCCTTTTCACTTTATGTCTCAGGATGTCTAGAAAAGAGAGAAGCCCTTTTAGCTATTGAACATGATTATGAAAGAATTGTTAAAGCAAGCAGAGTAAGTGGTTTCAGACCTAAATTCACAGGCTTGCCGAACATAAGTTCAAAGAGAGAGATAACATTATTAATTGCAAGAGTCACTCTAATTTTTAACAAAGCCAATTTTAACAAAGCCATTGGTAAATATCCAGGCCATTTTAACATAGTCGATTGTTGAATCATAGCCAGTGAGTTTGTTACTGTTTGAATCATCTATTCTACTTGGAGTATGATGATAGCTTATAGTAATCTGCAAATATCTGCATAATTCCTGGACAACAGTGCACATAAAATTATTTCCTCTGTCTGACTGAATAAGCTCTGAGAGCCCAAAAGTGGGGTTATGTGCATTAAGAGGACCTTTACCACTACTTGAGCATAAGCGTTTGAAGAGGGAAAGACTTAGGCCATTCAGATGTCATATACACCATAACCAGACAAAATCTCTTCTTTAGGCATTAATTCTATGAAATTGAATTCCCTCTATAGACACTAATTCCATGAAATCTAAGTGCCATCAGTTTTCTGGTAAAGTTGATTGAGGAAATTTTTCTGTGGTACTTGGAAGTGGCCTGTAAAGTATTCTGCTCACAAATAACAAGTCTTTTTAATATGTTTTGAATAATTTCGTCTTTCTGATTGATGTAGTAAGAGTCTAGTGTCTCTTCATGTATTTATTTAAGAGATAGAGTATTTCTCTGTTGCCCAGATAGGAGTGCAGTGGCATGATAATAGCTCACTGTAGGCTATGAACTCCTGGACTCAAGCTATCATCCAGAGTAGCTGGGATTTCAGGTGTGAGCCACCACACCTGGCTAGAGTCTAGTGTCTTTAACATCCCTCTGTTACGTAAATCATTTTGTTTGATAATGCAACAAAAATGAATCAAGCAAATACTGTGGTATAGGAATTATTTTATGGATAATTCCTATAGTCCAGTTGAATTTCTTTTAACTCCTTTTCAATATTTGTCTGTTTCCCTTCATGAATCTTATTTTTCTGAAAATAAATACAGGTTCTTTGTATTAAAAGTGGGGCTTCTAAGTTTGAAGTCTGACATGTTTTAACAACGACTTTTGCAGCTGTTGGCAAAATCATTGCCTTCATAAATTTCATAATTCTATTCTGTGTGAATTCTATAGTGGATTACTGATATCTGAACAGGTAGTTGTAAGGCTTCTAACAAATCATCTCTTGATTATCCATGAGACATTGTAGTTCCCGTTGAAGTCAATAATCTATTTTTCCAAATTTGCCCTGTTGCATAATATACACCAAACATATATTTATCACTGGCATATATATTCACTCTAAGTCCAGACCAAGAATTTTAGCACTAGTGACGGCTATTAACTTACCTACTTGTGCCAACTTAATTCCAGACAAAACATAAGCTTCCAAGAGCTCATGATCAGACACCACAGCATAAGAAACCTTCAGTTGGCCAATTTATCCCAAGTACATGGTCCATCAGTAAACACTATGAAATCTGCATTTTGAAAAGGAGTATAAGATCATCAGATTGGGGCCTAGCATTTGCCTCTATGATCATTTTACGGTCGTGATATGTTTGACTAAGATCTGGCAAAAGAGTACAAAGGTCTAGGAAATTGCATCTCCCAGGCATGGTATTAGAATTGGATAACAATGCTTGTTCATAGTCACTCTGATGGCATACCAACAAAGGCTGTTTTATGTATGTATAACTATCATCATATGTAGAATACTCAAATAAATCTAGTGACCCAATGTAAGGGCTTGAGCCTTTTCAATAAGAGTGGTGGCTGCTACCACCGCTCAGGGGAACCCAAGCAACTATCTAAAAGATCAGTGCCTCCTTCTTGCCAGGAGTCAATTTGATGCAGGGAAAGAGAGAAGTGCACGGGGTTCAGAGACAGTTGGGACAGCAGAGAAAGGAAGAGGTTTATGTGAAAGAGAAAGTCGCTTTAATTCTTGTATTTCCTCTTCCATTTTCCTCAATCTTTCCTTCTTGTTATTAAATCATTTTTAAAATTTTCCCCTTAGAATGGCAGTTATCTCATAAATACCAGTAATTCTTATGGCTGAAGTGAGAGATTTTTAAGATAAGACCCACCCAGATACGTTACAGTCATTCCTTTATATACACGGGGGATTGGCTCCAGGATCCCCCAAAGTACCAAAATCCTTGAGTACCTAAATGCCTTCTATAAAATGGTATCATATTTTCATATAACCCATACACATCCTCCTGTATACTTTAAATCATCTCTAGATTACTAATACCTAATACAATGTAAATGGTGTATGAACAGCTGTTATACTGTATTGTTTAGGGAATAACAAGAAAAAAAGTCTGTAAATGTTCAGCACAGACACAACCATCATAGGCTTCACTACATTTTTGATCTGTGGTTGGTTGAATTTCTGTATACAGAACCCACAGATATGGAAGGCCAACTATAATTTGTCCAAATTAAAGAAACTGTAAAACTAGATTCTTACATGTATGCTCATTCCAAATGTGACAAAAAGGTATTCGAATTTAAGAGATTTAAAAGAAACACCTGCAGGCAACATTTCTGGCTTCCCATATTTTTCTACCATCAAAGATAATAGTGATCCTGATGGGATTTTTAGCTCTGGTATCACCCACCCTCACTCAATAATAAAATCTTGAATTTGGAGTGGATGGCTCAGGTAGTATTCCAAAAAGTGAAGAGCTAGAAAGGAGACTTTTCTATAATTCAGGGTCTCTTACCTAACTGTTGTGTGACCACAAGTCTTTCAGATGATCTACCCAATTCAGAAATTGCCAGAAAGATCCTATCCTCATTGCTAAATTGTTGGGGAAATAATTAAACACAAAATCTCCTGCCAACCCAATACAACCTGTATATAAAACATAGGAAAGAATGAAATAGTTTTGTCATTGAATAAGCACTAAACCATATGCCTCACAGGCAATGCATTAAAACAACTGCGAAGACAAAAACACTCTCAATCTTCTATGTTTTATGTATATGTTAATTCATTACATACATGTTCACTGTATTTATTGAAAGGAAAAATAACATTTCTCATATGTTTTTGACAAGTAAGAAGTTACATTTTGGAGCTGATCCCACAGGCAGGGAGATAGGGCATCATTCTTTTTGGTGTTCACTTTGGTGTTCGAAGTGCTCCTTGGCACCTAAGAATGACACCTAAGAATTGGCACACTTGGCTGCAAAACTGTCAAGAGGTTTATTAGCTTTGAAAAAAATTTATATACATTTCAAAGAGACAGAGCTAACATTTATAATCTCAAGTTTTCTGAAGGAAATACTAAAAGAAAACAGAGCAAGTTCTCTTCACTTTTTTATACCAGGAAGAATTTTAAGTTAATTTTTAGAATTTTATTTACCCTTATACTGGCAAAGACAAGTCAAGGTCACAGTCCTAGAGGGGTAATACTGCCTAATAAATTTCCTGGATAGAGATTCATGCATAGGAAGAAGAAAAGGCATTGCCTTAGTAACTGTAACCAGAGTATGAGGTGAACACTGACTCTCAAGAAAGTAGAGGTGTCCCATTATAACTAGGGCATAAGGTCAGAGTTGGAGTAGCAAGAAGAATTTGATGCTGGGTTTGAAAGGTTTGGGCTAGAGCTGCTTAAATGCTTCTCATTTGTATGGGTTCTTTTTTGTTTTGTTTTGGGTATTTTTGTTTGTTTGTTTGTTTGTTTGAGATGGAGTCTCGCTCTGTGGCCCAGGCTGGAGTGCAGTGGCATGATCTTGACTCACTGCAACCTCTGCCTCCCTGGTTCAAGTGATTCTCCTGCCTCAGCCTCCTGAGTGGCTGGGATTACAGGCATGCACCACCATGCCCAGCTCATTTTTGTATTTTTAGTAGAGACGGGGTTTCGCCATTTTGGCCAGGGTGGTCTCGATCTCCTGACCACAGGTGATCCATCTGCCTCGGCCTCCCAAAGTGCTGGAATTACAAGTGTGAGCCACTGTGCCCGCCCTCATTTGTATGGGTTCTAAAATCCACGGCAGTGCTCAGCCTACAGATGATTTGGACCACAGAGCCTAGCTACATTGAGAAAGAACAACTTGGCCCTAGAAACAAGGACATTCTAAATTACACTGAGATTTGTGTATAAAGCTCATATTGCTGTCTTAACCACCAATAATGAAATTTACTCCTTTTACCCAGGTTAACAAAATATATCACAATAAAAACTAAACATTGAGTTTAACAGAAACAATATTTTGGAAGCAGAACACACATATTTTTAAGAAAATAATATTGCAAATGGTCAGTTTGGGGTCAATTTACCACACTAGAGTAACAAAGTTGATAAAATACAGCTATGTTCAACTAAACCATTTATCTACACTATAGTAAAATACTCGCAATCATTCCCAAGATCACAGTTTAAAACTATTTTAACAGATAAGACGTGTTTTACGGGCACCTCTGTAAGAGATGCTTTGCCTTCCTCAGTCAAAAGCATGATTAGAAGGTTGACAATATTTACTTTTTCCTCTTATCATATAGCCTGCTCAAAATAGTATTATCATTGGTAATATGGTCTGTATCTTGTCTGACCCGGATGATGTGTCCCAAGAAGTAGGGTTTGAGAAGGTAGATTCTGCATTCATAGAGGAAGGGGTGGCCGTCCAGGTACAGGCCACATGTCATGAATCATTTCCCCTGGTTGTATAAATGGAGGACTCGGAGTTCCTTGATATTCAGTGAACTTGGGTAAAGAGTTATGATTATAATGGTGAGAAGGGTGTGTTTTTACATGTTGTTGTGAGGCAGGTCCTGGAAGAAGATATCTTATATGAGGTGGCATCTGGACAATACTATGTCCGTGAAGAGAGTGGTAGAGTAGAGGTCATTGCTGGACTTGAAGCTTAGCTATGAACCAAGTGAGGAGTACCTGCAGCCTAAGGAAGATGTGGCATTGCATGGCTTGTTGGTAGCAGAAGAGGTGCTATGGTACAGAATGTAGCTATGGAGGTAGAGTATTATAAGAACTCAATACTACTCGTTGACCTTGATATTCAGGATGATGGTGAGCAAATGTGGAGGAAGTAGGTGTGGTTCTCAAGCACCTGAATTGGAGTGCTTTTGAATAGGAACAGTTATGAAATTGCCATGTTTTCTTGTTGAAATACAAAGGTTCCTTGACTTACTGAAGGAGATGGAGGTAAAGCCGTGAACAATTCTGCTGCAGGAGCATGAATATCCTTGGGGCTAATGATGTAGCTCATGTGGCAAATGCTGCAAAGAAAGTAGGTATCATAATGTGCTGCTTTGGGGGAATATTGGCTCATATGGTGCTTGTCTGGCCGCATCATAAAATGGTTAGGGATTTCAATTCGTGATGGGGTATCATGGAGGATGAACATTTTCTAGTCAGGCACAAGCAACAGGGTTTTACACTCTCATATGACAGTAGTTGATATGAGCCTCTAGGTCCCTCTTGAACCCTTGAAGTGTGCTACACATGAAGATAAAACCTTGTGTATGTTTCTCAATTTGCTTCACAGGATTGCTACAGCCTGGACACATCTTATCTCTTCCTTTTCCATGTAAAATAGCACAGACCTAGCAAAAAACATGCTTACATGTAATCATCCGTCCATAGATTTTAATTGATAATTCACATTTGTCACATAAATGGACTGGTGTATCGTCTTTTTCACCTAAGTTGTTTACCTGAACGTCCCCCAAAAGTTATTCACTAGATCTTTGCTGATTTGTTTCTTAATTTTTTTTCCTTTCTTTCTTTCTTTTTTTTTTTTTTTTTTGGATGGAGTCTCGCTCTGTCGCCCAGGCTGGGGAGCAGTGGCGCGATCTCGGCTCACTGCAAGCTCCGCCTCCCGGGTTCACGCCATTCTCCTGCCTGAGCCTCCCGAGTAGCTGGGGCTACAGACGCGTGCCACCACGCCCAGCTAATTTTTTTGTATTTTCGGTAGAGACGGGATTTCACCATGTTAGCCAGGATGGTCTCCATCTCCTGACCTCGTGATCCACCTGACTCAGCCTCCCAAAGTGCTGGGATTACAGGCGTCAGCCACCGCGCCGGGCCATCTTTGCTGATTTCTAAATGATTCTCCCCTTCTACCGTCACTATACAGTTCTTTGCTATGGTCGAATCCTTCAGCGTCCTCCATGATTTGGCTCGCAGGGCACAGTGGGAACTGAAGTGTACTGCACTGGAATCCCAGGGAGCGCATGGACCCTACCTTCTCCAGCCCCAGAGGCAGGAGTCTGACCAGGTCGCCTCAGCTCTGATCTCTTCTTACCTACCCCCATTCCAGAGAGGGAGTCAGGCAGAGGGAAAAACAGCGGGCATGAGAAGAGCTTCGTCATTGAGGTTGCTAAGGCTGCTTTTCTTATGGTTCAATAATATGTAGCCTTTAACTGTGGAAAAAGAAACTAACCTTGAATGGGGGAAGAAGACGGGGAACAGAGGCATGTTAGTACCTGAAGGAATAAGATGGAGGCAGGTAAGGTGGCCAGCCTGCCCTTAAAGGCTTTTTGAACGGTGGAATCCTTTATGTTTTTGAGGTGAAAGCCCACATATGCTATGCAATTTTCAAATAGAGACTGGATACCTTCCTATCAGAAATGCTGTAGATCTGGCCTCTCAAACTTTTCTGGCAAATTACCCCTAATGGCAGAGAAGAGTTAACTTTGTAACTGTGAGGGTGAGGGAGCAACATTCTAAGTACCTTCTAAAGCAAGACAATTTTTGGAATTCTTGTATGTTACTTTAACATATGAATATAACTTTCTGTTGCAGAATGTCTGTTTTAATGGAAAATACTGCATTTAATTATTTAGTTAACTTCTAGTATTTTCCTGGTCTTTGAGTAATATTAAAATCCTAGGAAGATGTGCCAGGATGTGTGCCAAATTCTATAGAACACTGCTATATCTCCCGTCGGTGTTGGTACACTAGTTTGTGATGCAGTGCATAGAGTAACTCCTTTACTGAGTACAAGATCATCCATTAGGACTTAGAAATCCTTTTTTATACAGAATCCTTTATATAGGTATTCATTTATAAGAGTATTTATCTGTAAATGAAGTTCAAAGTTAAAAGCCTCAACAAATTAGGAAGGTGATTAGTTGCATTACAAAATGCCTTCCCATATCCCAAAACTTCTCCTTTTGGTTCTTTAAATATTACATTCTCTTGGTGCATTTGATGTATATTTATAGAATATTAACAACTTGGAGGAGAGAACTAAATAAAATAATGAGTTAAAGGGCGAATAATCAATCAGTGATAATCACTCAAATATGAATAGAAAGCATATTAGAAATGAACATATTTGTTTATGGAAAGATAAGGCTGGATTTACGGAAATTTCATCTGTACCCACCTTTTCATAACCTATGCCTATTGTGAAGTGAGGATATACCTTCTCTGTAATAGCTTCATTCAATACTATTCAGAATAAATGTTTTCATTCTCACTTACAAAGAAACTTTGCAAAGAAAGTGATGAACTGCCATGCAAAAATATACCAAATACATTATTAAAAAGTAATTAAAGGGTAAGTCAGAGCATAAAACTACCCTTATGAAGCAGATTATCCATTTCTGCTGAAACACAAAGGCACTGTCAAAAGTGACCTCTGCCAGACAAAAAGACAAAACGGGGATGTTGCACCAGGTTGAAAATGCTATATTGAAAAGAAAAAATAAAAGCCATAAAAACATTTTTGATGGTATGCATTTATATACTGGAATTGCTGAATCATATAGCTAGATTAGAATATTTTTGCAGTAATATCATATGATTGATGTTAAGGATTTGGAGAGACTGAAATAATGAGAAGTTGAAAATTTTTCACATTTGCTGACACATTTTATAAAAGAAAAAATTTATAGTCACATGGAACATTTTATTGGAGAGAATGAATGAGAGAGAGAGTGAACAGCTGAGGTAGGGGGAAAAAGAATGAGACAGACCACTTTATGATGTTGGAAATCATTATGAAACTTACAGCTGGTTGGAAGAAGGAACCAAGGATAGAAGCTTAGAGAAAAGCCACCCCTCTTTATCCATTTCATTGTTGATGGGTTCCTGAAAGGTTGCAAGTAAATACGTACCAGTTTTCTCACCTTGACCTATAATATCATTTCACAACTATTTTACCTTAAGTTTGAATTTGTCATCACTGGGCAATGGCTGCTGATACTTGAGTTTTTGATATATTTGGCCCTCTGCCAAATAGCTAATGCTATATAAACAAATACCTAACTGTACAAGGGGACCTTGTAATTCAGTGTGTACCCTTCTTTCTGCAGAATAATCCTGCTTGAAGTTCTTTTCCAACCTCCTCTATATTCAGATGGATGCAGCTGCTCTGAGTGAAATTGAAGTGGGAGAGCCCAGAGTCTTACCTCCTTAACACTCCTACTGCTCTGGCCACCCCAATTACTCTCTCTTACAGTGGTTATTTAGGCAGCTCAGAGAAACACAGCTTGAAAACAACTCCTCACAATATATATTTTCTACACTGATGTATAAAATGTTTATAGTGAACTATATCATATGGGCAAAAGAATAATAGGTGAGTACCCATCTCTAGCTTAAGAAACAGAGTATTATTCGTGCATTTGCAAGCCCTGCAGCACCCCCTCACTCATTATCACCTCCAACAAGAGGAAAGCACTATGCTAAATTTTGTGTTCCTCATTCTCTTGCTATTTTCAGTTTTAAAAATTATGTGTATATATCTTTATCCAAAATCTTGTTTAGTTTTATGTTTTTACATTTCTATGGATGAAATGATACCATGACTTCCTTTATTCCCTTAACATATTTCTGAGATATTTTTATGTTAATGCATGTAGCTGTATTTAATTCATTTTCAGCAGTGTATTTCATTGTATGAATATATTATAATTTAACTGTTGTCTTGTTGGGGAATATTTGGTTTGTTCCCAGGTTTTGCAATTACAAGTGCTACTATTGACACTACTATTGATGCCAGGGATTTGGAGAGACAGAAAGAATGAAACATTTGTGTATGTCTCTTGTACATGTTCAAGAATTTTTCTAGGGTGCATATATATGTTTGGAACCACAAGATCATAGAGAATAAACATACTCAACGTTTCCAAAGTGGTCCTACCAATTTGTCAGCAGACTATAAAAGTTTTTGCTCCACATCTTCACCAATACTTCACATTAATAGACTTTTAATTTATTACCAATTTGGCAGTAGTAAAATTCTTATTGTTATGTTTTTAATTTTGTGTTTCTCTGATTGCAAATGAGATTGAGCAGCTTTTCATGTTTTATAGGTCATTTATAATTCCTCTTTAAAAAAATACCCATTCATATTATTGGAACATTTTTTTCTGTTGAACAATTTGTCTTTTCCTTATTGATTTGTATGAGTTCATTATATACCCCCAATATTGATTCTTTGTTATATGATTTTCAGTTATCTTCTATAAGTTTGTAGGTTGCCTTTTAATTTTCTTCATGGTGTCTTCTGATAAACAGACGTTCTCAAATTTGATGGATTAAACTTATCAATATTTTTCTTTAGTGCTTTTCTGATATGCTTAAAATGTTTTCCCTAACCTGAAGTCAAAAAGGATACTTTCCCTTATTTATTTGTAGGTTTGGACTTTCAAATGGAGTATTTTTTTTTGGCTGGGGGGAGACCTGAGTTTTATTATTACTCAAATCAGTCTCCCCAAGCATCTGGGGATCAGAGTTTTTAAGGATAATTTGGTGGGTGGGGGAAGGCCAGTCAGTCAAGAGTGCTGATTGGTTGGGTCAAAGATGAAATAATAGGGAATTGAAGCTGTCCTTTTGGACTAAGTCAGTTCCTGTGTGGAAGCCACAAGATCAGATGAGTCAGTTTATCGATCTGGGTGGTGCCAGCTGATCGATCGAATGCAGGGTCTGCGAAATCTCTCAAACACTGATCTTGGGAGCAGTTTAGGGAGGGTCAGAATCTTGTGGCCTCCAGCTGCATGACTCCTAAACCATAATTTTTAATCCTGTGGCTAATTTGTTAGTCCTACAAAGGCAGTTTAGTCACCAGGCAAGAAGGAGGTTTGTTTTGGGAAAGGGCTGTTATTGTCTTTGTTTTGTACTATAAACTAAGTTCCTCCCAAAGTTAGTTCAGCCTTTGCCCAGGAATGAACAAGGACAGTTTGGAGGTTAGAAGATGGCATTGGTTAGACTAGATCTGTTTCACTGTCTTCAGTTATAATTTTGCAATGGTTGCTTCAGTCCTTCCCTTTGGATTTTATAACACCTTAATCTTAAAGTGTTGGCTAATGAAGATGGAAAAAGTGTGAAGACCGCTCTAACTTCTTCCTGCTGATCAGGGGGATAGTGGGGGTAGGTGTTGACCCCAAGGTGAGAGGAGTGGAACCACTTTGCAACTGTCTGAGCATACTCATGCAGGCCTGGTTGGGGTTCCAAGGTTTGCATGGCAAAGGTGTTAGTATTGTCATCTATAGTTTTAGTACCACATTTAAGAGAACAGCATACTATAAGGTAAATATTGAGTACTAGGGTAAGGGGTGCAATTCTTAGTTTTAAAAGTAAAGATTTGAAAATATTAGTTTGGGGACTTGTAGCCCTCAAGGATTTAGTCCAAACTGCAGAAAAAAACTTTGAGAACAGCTAACAACAGGTATACTATATTTTTTCTTTTGAACCGTAATTTTTCTCTCTCCAGTCCCCATGTTTATTAATAACAAATCATGATATAATTGAGTTGTTTACAACATAAACTTTAGTCTTATTGTACTTGGCCTGATTATTTGCATAAAGTACAGCAAGAATAATGATTTTTCACATAGGCTTTAAAAATTGGCTTCGATGGAACTCTATTCCATAAGGAATCTTAGATAAGACTTTTATAAAGCTGAGCCCAGCTATGGGTTCGTACCCTCAAATACCTACGAGTTGGCTAAATTCCTCTCCTCTCCTCTTGAGGTTCCTATATAGCTTGGGGCTCCTGGACCTGTTAGAAAGTTGACATTCTTTACTTACCACAAGTCGGGAATCTTGTACAGAGATGGCATAGACAAGGTATGAGGCCACATTTCCCAAGGGGCTTTTATTGGCTCTACAAGTCAACTTTGATTCTTTAAAGAAGCATGCCATTCCAGTCAAAGCCTTGGTGAAATAACTAGTTTCTCCAGTTGTGTCCTGTTACAAAAGAAAACAGTTTCTTATTGCACTTATGCAAATAACTATACTGTCATTAAGTTGAGAATATTCACAAATAAAATGGAGTCATTTAATTGATCTGCTATTGATTTTGTATGGAGTGACATGGTGATCCAATTTCATTTTTTTCCTCCATATAAACAGTCAATTATTCCAGAACCATTTCTAAAATAGTCTACTCGTTCTCCTATGATTATCAATGGCAAGCTCTGTCACCTATCCAGTTTTCATATATGCATAAATCTGTTTCTGGAGTCTCTGTTTCATTCCATTGGTCTGTTTTCTTATCCCATCTTAATTACTGTGGCCGTATGAAGTTTTGAAGTTTTAAAGAGAGGAACAAGTCTCCCAAACTTATTTTTGAGGAACGTCTTGGCTCTCCTTGGCTGTTTGCTGTATAACAATATTTTAGGTTGGTGGGATATTGGAGGGGGAGGGATAAGGGAAAAGAAGGGGAGAGGAAAAGGTTTACAAATATATATTTGCTCACATATAAATCTTCTGAAAGTCAACTCTGCTGTTGTAGTCAAGCATTTTTTAGGCCATAAAAGTTGTCTGCTTAAATTTATTGACATGAGTGTCAGTACCATATGTGATGAGGCACTGGGTCAACATAATTTTTGTTTCTTTTATTTTTAAAACTAACTTCCTTGGGATCTTATCATTTCTTGAGATGAACAGTATAACGTTGTGATAAAAAAAAAAGCATGAGCTTTACTTTGAGGAACATTTCTTTTTAAATTTCTGTTCTGCTGCTTAGTATTTGTGTGACCTTAGACATATTACTTAATATTTCTGAAATGAATTGCTTGCTTTTTGGTCTGTAAATGGTAGTGATAATATTGACCTACTGTGTTAGTTTTTTATCTGCTGTAACAAATTACCATAAGCTTAGTGGTTTAAAAGAATATAAATTTATTATCTTATATAGGTTAAAAGTCTGACAAGGTCCTTACTGGACTAAAAGCAGGTTATTGGCAGGGCTGCATGCCTTTTTGGACTCTCTACAGGAGAATCTGTTTCCTTGTTCATTCAGATTGTTGGCAGAAATCAGTTTTCTGTGATTGTAGGCCTAAGGTCTCCATTTCCTCATTGGCTGTCCACTGGGATCTTCCCAGCTTGCAGAGGCCAACTTCATTTCTTGGCTCATGGCCCCGTCCTTCATCTTCAAATTCAGCAACAATGGATTGAATCCCTCTCACTCTTTGAATCTCTCTTGCTGCTTCTTCCATCACGTCACTCTGTGTCTGTCTCTCTCTCTCTCACTCTAGCCTGGAAAGGTTCTCTAAGGGCTCATATGATTAGATTGGGCCCATTCAGATAATTCAGAATAATTTCCCTATTTTAAGGTCTGTAACTTTAATCACGTTTGTACATGGCCCTTTTGCCATGCAAAGTAACATATTTACACGTTCTGAGATACAAATGTGAACATCTTTTTGGGGAAAGGAAGGGTTGCATTATTGTTCTGTCTATCTGCCATGCCTACCATGTGACTGTTGTGAGGAATGCATGAGCTAATGCATGTAAAGAGCTCAAGATAGTTTTGATATGTAGTAAACACTCAACTGGAGTGTTATTAACATTTGAATTACTACTTATGAGCAGCGAAATGTGGGTTTTCTCCTTTACTGTTTTTGGAATATTTATGTGAACTTATCTTACCTTCTACTGACATAATTCCTCTTTAAACTTTTTTGAAGTCATGAAATATTTTAAGCATACAGACTTATATAATTTTTGAGAATATTGATGCCCTATACAGTTGTAATGGGTTGAATTGTGCTTGCCCCCAAATATATGTTCATATCCTAACCCCTAGTACCTGTGAATATGACCTTTTTAGCAATAGAGTCTTTGCACATATTAATAAAGTTAAGGTGAGGTCATATTATATTAAGGTTGGCTTAAGTCCAGTGATTGGCATCTTTATAAGAGAAAGAAAAGGCAGATTCTGTCACAGAGGCACAGCAGAGAAACACAAGGGAAGAGGCCATGTAATGATGGTGGCAGAGAGTGAAGTGACGCAGCTCTAAGCCAAGGAATGCCAAGGATTGCTGGCAACCGCCAGAAGCTAGAAAGAGACAAGGGAAAGATTCTTCCCTAGAGCCTTTAGAAGGAGCATGGCCCTGCCAGCACCTTCATTTTGGACATCTAGGACTGTGATAGAACAAATTTCTATTGTTCCAAGCCACTTGGTTTGTGGTATTTTTATTACAGCAGCCTAGGAAACTAATATAAAATCTTGCCATGTATTTTTTTCAACTTGGTTTTTCTTTGAAGTAGCATATCAAAGATGGTCTTGTTAGTTTCTAGTGTATGAGACATCTACATTCAAATATATGCCAAATATACGGTCAATATCTTAAGGAAGACTTGTTTTGTGTGGCCCCTAATAGTAAAATTAGGATCTATGAGTAAAAGTTGTAAGGAAACTGATTTTTTAGCTCAATATATAAAATGAGGCTTTCTAACAATCACAGTGGTCCGTGGCAGTGAGAGCTGTTTCAATACTCATACGCCAGACATTTTTTTTGAGGCAGTGGAACTAGTTTCTCATGAATGTTTTAGATAAAAACTCATTTTAAAGAAAATTAATTATTCTCATCGTAAATTGGGAATAATAATGTTTCATGTTGGTCACAAAAAATAAAAGTCTAAAATGATGCTGGCTTATTTAAATGTATACAAGAAAAACACAGAAAGCTCTTATCAACATTTTCTGCATGAAATTCAAATGGAAATGAAATTTAATCAGTTAGCTGATACATATATAGATAGCTAGTCTATATTATAAGGCTGCATCTAAATCAATTGGTAGAATTTTTTCTTAAAAAAAGCAATGAATCATCCAGTGTTTATTGAGTGCTCCCTCTGTAACGTAAGGGAGGTAGATGATACTGTCACTACCCTAGTTGATGTTATACTTTTGTTGAGTTGTGTGGTAGTAGGCTTATATAGGGTGTTTTTCCAGGATCCATTTTCTAACCCTCTTTCTAACCATATTCAGACTTTCTTTCTGGTATTCCCCCCTCTCCTTAACAGGTTACTTGCTTCAGGCCACCCAGTCAGGGGGAATTTCAGTACTCTTATTTGGAATGCTGGTGAGAAGTTCTGTGTGTCTCTTTGGATGTTGTAATAATGTAGTCTTGATTGTGGCTGGCAGTTATATGGTTGTCAAGAGATGTACCAGTCTTAGGACAAAGTTGACACTGAGGATAGTGGAGTAGAAGGATATAAGGATATTGAGTCCCGGAAGATATCATTGAGCTGCTACATCAACTAGTATCTGCATGTTTCAGTTAAGTGAGAAAATAAATCCCCTTTTTGTTTAAGTCAGTTTGCACTGGATTTTCTGTTTTTTCGTAGCATAAAGTCTTATCTGATACAAACATGTATTCATAAAGCAACTGAAGAATAACAAATGATAATCTATAATCAAGAGCTAGATATGCTAAAAATAAATACTGTAGATTTTTGGTTTTTAAAGTGTGGTTCCTAGGCCAGCAGCATCAGCATTGCCTGAGAACTTGTTAGAAATGCAAATTTTATGGCCCCACCCCAGATTTACTGAATCAGAAACTCTGGCAGAGGGTCCCAGTAATTTTTGTTTTAACAAGCTCTCTAGGAGATTCTGATCATGCTGAAGTTTGAAAACCACTGCTCTAGAAGTTCAGGAAATGAGGGATTATTGTTTATTGAAGAGTAGTGAAAGACTTCATGGAGAAGGTGAGATGAGCTAAACACTAGAGTAAGATGGACTTTTGAAAAGGAGACTCATGAAACAGTTAATAAGGCACAGAGGTAAGAATGAAGATGGTATTTATGGGGCATTTTATGACTAATTGTGACATTAATAAAATAGTGAAGGACTAAAATTGCTTGAGTAGTGGGGTAGGAGAGAATTGGTGGCTGAGATTCAGTTTTTATGTTTGTCCAGGTATTCTCATTTTACTTGAATTCATTGAAAACCTGAACAGTAGAATGCATTATTGATATTCTTCATTGTAGGCAATATATGTTGAATCAACCTGTCTAGACTATAGCCATAGAATATTAAGATCATCAAGTCATAGAAAGAGAATGGACTAATCCTACTTGTATTGGCATTAGGTAGGCAGAGAGGCCTCCTTCCTGGACTTCAAAAATTTGTTTGAAGGGAGTTACAGTAGTTCCCCCTTAACTGTGGGCGATATGATCCAAGATTCCCAGTCAATGCCTGAAAGTATGGATGTACTGAATCCTACATATACTATATATATTCTATATATACTTGTACACATGTACCTGTGATAAGGTTTAATTTATAAATTAGGCACAAGAAGAGATTAACAACAATAATGAATCAATAAAATAGAACAATTATAAAAATATACTGTAATCAAGGTTATGTGACTGTGGTCTCTTTCTCTCTCTCTCAGAATATCTTACTGTTCTGTGCTCACCTATTTTCAAATTGAGGTTGCCCAAGAGAGACCACAGAAAGCAAAACTGTGTATAAGGGGGACGAATATACTTTTATCTTGTGAAAATTTAACACTAGCAGGGTGGCACCAGCAGTGAGACTTCAACCAGCCTTGGATTTGTGTGATATTTATACAGTTCCTTGTCTTCCTCCTTCCATTCCATATTTTGTGGGAGAAATTCCTGCCTTAAATACCGATGTCATGTCTAAGGTTGTACATCACCCACCTACACTGCCTGCTCAGTTTGATAATGTGTGCTTGGATGGAAATGTTTACATTCCATCCTTTTCCCTAAAGTACTATAAGCCATGCATAATGATGCCGCCCTGTGGAATTATGGAATGGGAACTGACTGGCTCAGAGACTGCTGGAAAATGAGAGAGAAGCACTTTAAAGCTAAAATGCCAAAGGCTGCAAAAAAAATAAACTCTTAGATAGACTTTAAAATCGCCTTTCCAAAACTGTCTAGATCTAAGTTTGTGGTGGTGGTTGGTGTGGGTGTGTAAGTGATAGCAGGGCTGGAGGAGAGAGGAAGGGTTTTAACCTGATGATGCAAATTACTTCTCCTTGTTGACAACTATCTTTTTGTTAAGGAGTGCTAGAACAGTGAACAAGCATTTCTAAAGCATTGGCACTGTTCAGTGTGTTTAGACATTATTTAATTAGTCAAAAATGGGGCTTTATTTTAGAGAGGATTTAATTGTCTTGATACTGAATGATCTTGGTATGGCAAAGACATTTGTCTCTGTATATATGTGTATGTGTATGTGCAAAATGTATATAATGGAAGTAGCTTTGGAGTTGGGCCAAAAAATCCTCAGCACCAAGCTAAGGTTACTTTAAATCTGCTTGCTTTGCAGGTAATATTGAAGGATGCGTGAGACAAGCAATAAATTTCCCCCCTCTGCCACTTTGGAAGACTGAATCACCTCGTTTGTTCAGTTAGACTAACCTATCATTTGACTTGCTTTGAAGGTCTAAAGTTTAAATTTTTCCTCTCTTTGGGGATTGGGTAAGGAGGTGATTGAAAAAAGAAAATGTTTAAATCACGGAACACTAATGAGTCATAGGCCTGGAGAAGTCATTTTTGACTTTACACTTTGCTCGAAGGAGCAACTTGGACTTGTGCTAGCTTGTTCTCTGGTGGAACAATTTCTGCAGGCAGAATGATTTCCATGGGCATAGGCTGGTGGAGACTTGGATTTCCAGTGCTTTCTTGGAAAAGATGGTATGTTTTGATAACCTTGACACAGGCCTGATAATTCCTATTATCCTAGCGTCTCTGACCAATTTTTACTAGCACTGGACTGTGAAGCTTTTGCTGTTTGAGGGCTGAATTTGTGCACTGCTTCCCTTCCTTGCTCTGGAGGTTTTTAGCTCTGTGATGTTTCTAATATATTCTTTTAAATGTTCTATTTATGAGTTCATTTTCATTCATTAAATGCATCTCTCACCATTAATGGGAGTTGTCTAAAGGAAGATGTATAGTCTGACACACCCCGTGGTGTCTTTTGCAAAGTATTTGAAGTGAGATAAAGTCCTGCTGTAGCCAACATACCCATAAAGCAGCTGACAGGTATGTATTGCACATCTACTAAGTACAGTTGACCCTTGAACAACACAAGTTTGAACAGCACAGGTCCACTTATATGCAAATTTTTTTCAGTAAAATCACTCTGTGTACCTGCCTCTCTTGCCTCCCTTCCACCTCCTCCACCTTTTCAGCCTCTGCAGCCCCTAAGACAGCAAGGCCAACCCTCCTCTTTCTCCTCCTCCTCAGACTCCTCCATGTGAAGACAAGGATGAAGACCTTTATGGTGATCTGCTTCCACTCAATGAATAGTATATGTATTTTCTTTTCCTTATGATTTTCTTTTCTTATCTCTATCTTACTTTATTATAAGAACATAATATATAATACATATAACATACAAAATATATGTTAATTGACTGTTTATGTTATCAATGAGGCTTCTGGTCAACAGGGTCCTTCTAACAATCCTCTGCACTGTGCTCTTTCTAGAAGCATGCATGTGACCAAGGTACTCTCTGGCTTGATCCACAGGATAAAACCTTAGGGCCCGGAATGAGATAGATTTGTCTTTTGTCCTTGAATTAGAATAACTTATGAGAAGGTAGTGTTGAGGTCTGTTGATTTTACTTTAGTCTCTTTAGTATGGTGGGCCTGGGAACTTGAGATAACCAGCTAGGGCTCTTGTGTGCGGTCATATGAAACATGAATAGGAGCTTCTCTGTGGGAAAGAAGTTGGCTTTTGCTCTTAGAATAGCAGAGGTACCTGAGAACAGGCTTTTGCTTCAGAGTAGGATGAGTGTGAGAAGGCAGGTAGCTAGGAGCCTGATCATAGAGGATCTTATGGAAAGGTTGACCAGTCAGCCAGAGAAAAGTCCAATGTGCACCTGTAGGTCTGGTATAATTATTAGGAGCACCCTCTTTTTACTACCAAAAGTCTCCTGGTTTGTATGACAAATTTTATTGCAAGGAGATTAGATGAGATTGCTTTGTCCTTTTGAATTCCTGATGCTGCTCTGCTGGCTGGTCCTTCAACTGGCACCACCTACTTTACCTTATCTAGGGCATCCGATATCCTCCACTCCCTTTCTGTTAAGCCCCTCTTTTTCCATATGCTTCTTTGTCTTTTTCCCTTTTCCCATTCATATTCTTGCGATGTTCTTTATGTCTGTGGCCCTTTTTTGGCCATGGGGATTATCTAACCTGAGACTGGCTTTGTTTCAAGCTCCAATGGCTCTGATGCTTGGTTCATTTTTATGTCCTTTCGCCATTTTTGAATTTGATTGGCCAATTGCCCAAACAAGAGGAATCACCTGTCTGTTCTATTAGGGTCAGCCTTTCACAGCAGTTATGTAATGTCTTTAGAACTAAGGTTTCTTAGCCCATTTGGGTTGCTATAACGAAATACCATAAGCTGGGTAGCTTATAAACAACAAAAATGTATTTATCATATTTCTGAAAGCTAGGAAGTACAAGATCAAGGTGCCAGCAGATTCAGTGTCTGGTGAGAGCCCACTTTCTGGTTCACAGCCTTCTAGCTGTGTCCTCACATGGTAGAAGAAGCAAAGCAGCTCTCTGGAACCTCTTTTATAAAGGCACTAATCCTATTCATCATTCATTCATAATCCTTCCATATGTGCCCAGACATATCCAAGTAGTAGATTAGTACCAGCCCCACCTCCTAATACCATCACATTGGTGATTAGGTTTCAACGTATGAATTTTAGGCAGACACAAACACTCAGACCATAGCACAAGGCTTCATGAAATTTAGTGCTGCCCATCTGCTTCCATGGTCTTGGTCTGAGGGACGATTGTTAGGAATGTTGTCTAACTGGCAATCCTTACTACAGCAAATACAGATAGCAGTTTTTCCCCCAAAGTAATATGTACCATTGTCCCTGAAGGAAATGTGAGAAAAAAAAAGTTTTTGGAGATCACCCAGGAAGCCCAGTCATCCTACCAGAACTTCTGCTGATAGAGCCCAGTTAGCTCATGTTGGGCTTTGACCCACTTAGTACTCTTTCAGCTTAGGACAGTAAAACCAGTAGCTTTAAGAAATCTGTAGATGTTCCATTCATCTTCATATCATTCAATTCTTATGTTGCTAGGGTATGAAGACAGTTAAACACAAGAGCATTTTATAGGTTTATCAGGGCACTGATGTCATCTGGGGATAGCGTACTTCACTTATACATCATATGTGAAAAACAGAATGAGACACAAATCACAGAGAAATGCAGTTAACGTTTCATGAGTTCATAAATCTGGAGCTGTGGCCAACACTGGGACCTCTGTTGGAAACTTCCAGCTTTATAATTCAGTAGCTCCAAGGATTAATTTTACCATGCAGAGTTTGGGTCAGGAGCTAAAATACATCCACATGCAAATCTAGACCATGGAGAATAACTAAACACATTTTTGTATGGAGATTTGTGAATGTGCTGTGGTGAAACAATCTCATAAGGGGCCTTTGAATTGTCACTTGTTACTTGCATACATAATGTGCACTATTCAGTACAGTAAACTTTCCATTCAGAACAATCCTCAGGAAGTCAAATTGTCTCTCTGCCGATGACATGACTGTATACTTAGAAAACCCCATTGTCTCAGCCCAAAAACTCCTTAAGCTGATAAGCAACTTCAGCAAAGTCTCAGGATACAAAATCAATGTGCAAAAATCACAAGCATTCCTATACACCAATAATAGACAAGCAGAGAGCCAAATCATGAGTGAACTCCCATTCACAATTGCTACAAAGAGAATAAAATACCTAGGAATACAACCTACAAAGGACGTGAAAGACCTCTTCAAGGAGAACTATAAACCACTTCTCAAGGAAATAAGAGAGGACACAAACAAATGGAAAAACATTCCATGCTCATGGATAGGAAGAATCAATATCGTGAAAATGGCCATACTGCTCAAAGTAATTTATAGATTCAGTGCTATTCCGATCAAGCTACCATTGACTTTATTCGCAAAATTAGAAAAAAAAACTTTAAATTTCATATGGAACCAAAAAAGAGCTTGTATAGCAAAGACAATCCTAAGCGAAAAGAACAAAGGTGGGGGGCACCACGCTACCTGACTTCAAACTATGCTACACTATACTACAAGGCTACAGTAACCAAAACAGCATGGTACTGGTACCAAAACAGATATATAGACCAATGAAACAGAACAGAGGCCTCAGAAATAACGCCATACATCTACAACCATCTGATCTTTGACAAACCTGAGAAAAACAAGCAATGGGGAAAGGATTCCCTATTTAATAAATGGTGTTGGGAAAACTGGCTAGCATTATGCAGAAAACTGAAACTGGACCCCTTCCTTACACCTTATAAAAAAATTAACTCGAGATAGGTTAAAGACTTAAACCTAAAACCTAAAACCATGAAAACCCTAGAAGAAAACCTAGGCAGTACCATTCAGGACATAGGCATGGGCAAAGACTTCATGACCAAAACACCAAAAGTAATGGCAACAAAAGCCAAAATTGACAAATGGGATCTAATTAAAGAGCTTCTGCACAGCAAAAGAAACTATCATCAGAGTGAATAGGCAACCTACAGAATGGAAGAAATTTTTTTGCATCTGAAATTTTATCCATCTGACAAATGTCTAATATCCAGAATCTACAAGGAAGTTAAACAAATTTACAAGGAAAAAAACCAACCCCATCAAAAAGTGGGTGAAGGATATGAGCAGACATTTCTCAAAAGAAGACATGTATTTGGCCAAGAAACATATGAAAAAAAGCTAATCACTGGTCATTAGAGAAATACAAATCAAAACCACAATGAGATGCTATCTAACGCCAGTTAGAATGGCGATCATTAAAAAGTCAGGAAACAACAGATACTGGCAAGTCTGTGGAGAAATAGGAATGCTTCTACACTGTTGGTGGGAGTGTAAATTAGTTCAACCATTGTGGAAGACAGTGTGGCGATTCCTCAAGGATCTAGAACCAGAAATATCATTTGACCCAGCAATCCCATTACTGGGTATATACGCAAAGGATTATAAATCATTCTGCTATAAAGACACATGCACATGTATGTTTATTGGACCACTATTTACAATAGCAAAGAATTGGAACCAACCCAAATGCCCATCAACGATAGACTGGATAAAGAAAATGTGGCATATATACACCATGGAATACTATGGAGCCATAAAAAAGAATGAGTTCATGTCCTTTGCAGGGATATGGATGAAGCTGGAAACCATCATTCTCAGCAAACTAACACAGGAACAGAAAACCAAACACCGCATGTTCTCACTCATAAGTGAGAGTTGAACAATGTTAACACATGGACACAGGGAGGGAAACATCACACACTGGGGCCTGTTGAGGGGTGGAGGGCCAAGTGAGGGAGAGCATAAGTACAAGTACCTAATGCATGTGGGTCTTGAAACTTAGATGATGGGTTGATACATGCAGCAAACCACCATGGCACATGTATACCTATGTAACAAACCTGCACATTCTGCACATGTATCCCAGAACGTTTTTTAAAAAAGATCAAAATATTTTAAAAAAGAGTGCTTTCTCCAATTGAATGTGTGCTGGCCCCCAGCAGGGGAGAAACTGCTGTGTCCGCAAGAGTGGATGGAGTAGGTTAAGAGATGACCGACTCTTTGCATCCATTCCTGGCTACTGGTGCTACTCCCTTCAGAAATTGGTGCCGTGCCTGTGTATTCTTTATCCCAAGAAAGAATTCTGTGGCAGGTTGCACTCCCCCCTCCGTTAGAGGTGGCCCACGCTGAGGGTGAGATCTCTAGGAGTCCTATATAACTCCCTGGTGACCCACCAGTCTCCCGTGTTTGCCAAAATCAGAGTGGGTTGTGGGGTATGTTTGCAGGGAAACTGGTGGTGTGGGGACTCAAGGCAGAGATTCCTTGGGCAGGGCAGTGGCGCACCACAGCTACAACTGGTATGACACCCACTGTCTCAGTTTGTGTCTGAGCGGCATGCAATCATGCCTGCATGAGATGACCTTTCAGTTCTCTGCCCCTAGGAAGCTCTCAAATCACAACCAACAGTATTGCCCAGGGCCATAAGGGCAGAGGGGCTCTCCAATGGTTTGGCAGTCAGCAGACTGTTACAGGGGTGGGGGAAGCAGAGAAACACTCCTACCTACACTTTCTGCAGGGATCTGAGTTCCTTGGGGGTCAAACTTTGTCTGATTCTTGCTGCTTTCTGTTTCTGCACTCCAGCTTCTTCCTCTAGGAGTTTTTGACAGGTCCTGGCTCTCTTCCCACAGTTTTCTATTTGGAACATGCACTCACCAGTAACTTTGATCTTTCTGAGGAGAACTGGCATCCAATGTCCCTAGTCATTCATTTTGGGAAAAAAGACAAGACCTGTTGAATTACATCTATTTGAGGATCTCTGAGCTTCCTGTATCTGCATGTCTAAATCTCTTTTTAGACTTCGGATGTTTTCAGCTATTATTTTATTAAATAGGTTTTCTATCCCTTTTATTTTCTTTCTGTTTTCTGGGACACTAAAAATCCAAAATATTTGGTTGCTGTATGGTGTCCCATATTTCACATGGGCTTTTCTCATTCTTTTTATTCTTTTTTCTTCATTTTTGTCTGACTGGTTTATTTCAAAAGCGCAGTCTTCAAGTTCTGAAATTCTTTCTTTTGCTTGATTTAGCCTATTATTTATGCTTTCAAATGTATTTTGTATTTCATTCCATAAATTCTTCTAGAATTTATTTGCTGCTTTTTAAAGTGATATCTGTCTGGTAAATTTCTCATTTATATCCTAAGTTGTTTTTCTGATTTTTTTGTATAGTTCCTCGGAGTTCTCGTGTGTCTTACTGAGCTTCTTAAAAATCTGTATTTTCCATTATTTATTCAGCATTTTGTTAATTTCTTTCTGATTGGATCTGTTGCTGGTGAATTATTATATTCCTTTGGAAGTGTCATTTTCCCTTGCTTTTCCATGTTTCTTGTGCTAATTCACTGATGTCTGTGCATCTGGTGTAACAGTTGCTTCTTCCAATTTTTGAATTTGCTTTTGTAGGGAAGAACTTTTTCCTGAAGATGTATTTATGATATTGGTTGGGTAGTGCTTTGATTCTGTGTATGTGCAGTATTGCAGTCTCCATATGATTTTTTTGGCTGTAAGCAGTGTCAGTGGTGCCTGTGATTTTCTCAGTGGCATAGGGTGCAGCTGCTAGTACAGGCTGTGACATTTTCGTGGTCACAGGTATATCAGGTTGGCCAGTGCTCAGGCTTTATTGGTGAAAACATCAGGCTGAGCATGCCTGTCACTGGGCCTCTGGGTGGCATAAGCTGGCATTGGCATTAGTTGGTCCAGGTGGGCTGATTCCTGGGGCTCCAGGTAGCTTGCTCACATGTTGGCAGTGGCAGAAGTGGGCTGGGTGAGTGGCCATATCCTCAGGCCTCTTGGCAGTGGGCGTGGCATGGTGATGGCAGTAGCAGTGGCAGGATAATCCTCTGCCTTGCAATTGGTCCTCACTAGTGTTGGCAGTGACTACAATGGGCTGGGTGGGCTAGTACCCAGGCCTGCATGTGGCATGTGTGAGTGGATGCCTGCTGTGGTAGTAGCATCAGGTTGGGTGGGCTCATTCCCAGGACCCTGGGAAGAGTGCTCTGGTGTTAATGGTGGTTTATGGGGCAGGGCAATTCCCAGACCACCTGATGGCATGTTCAGCACTAGTAGGTGGAATCAGGCTGAGTAGGCCTGTCCTCGGGTCCCTTTTTTTTGTTGGCAATTTTTTGATTACCATTTCAATTTTGCTGCTTGTTCAGAGATTCTGTTCAGAGATTCTGTATCTTGCTAGTTTAATCTAGGAGGGTTGTATATTTCCAGGAATTCATCCATCTTTTCTAGGTTTTCTAGTTTATGCTCATAAAGGTGTTCATAGTAGCCTTAAATGATCTTTTTTATTTCTGTGGTATCAGTTGTAATCTCCTGTTTTATTTCTAATTGAGCTTATTTGGATCTTCTCTCTTCTTTTCTTGGTTATCTCACTAATGATCTGTCAATTTTATTTATCTTTACAAAGAACAAGCCTTTTGTTTCATTTATCTTTTGTAATTTTTGTTTGTTTCAATTTCATTTAGTTCTTCTCCGATTTTTCTTATATCCTTTCTTCTGCTAAGTTTGGGTTTGGATTGTTCTTTCTCCAGTTCCGTGAGGTGTGACCTTGGATTGTCTATTTGTGCTCTTTCAGACTTTTTGATGTAGGTATTTAGTGCTATGAACTTTCCTCTTAGCACAGCTTTTGCTGTATCCCAGAGGTTTTGATAGGTTGTGTCACAATTATCGTATTGTACAGTTCAAAGAATTGCAAAAATATAGAACCAGCCCAAATGCCCATCAATCAATGAGTGGATAAAGAAAATGTGATATATATATATCCCATAGAATATTACTTAGCCATACAAAGGAATGAAATAGTGGCATTCACAGCAACCTGGGTGGAATTGGAAACTATTATTCTAAGTGACGTAACTCGGGAATGGAAAGCCAAACATTGTACGTTCTCACTCATAATTGGGATCTAAGCTATGAGGATGCAAAGGCATAAGAATGATACACTGGACTTTGGGGACTTGGGGGAATGGGTGGGTGGTGGCAAGGAATAAAAGACTACATGTTGGGAACAGGGTGCACTGCTCAGGTGATGGGTGCACCAAAATCTCAGAAATCATGACTAAGTAACTTATTCATGTAACCAAACACCACTCGTTCCCCCAAAACCTATTGAAATTAAAAAAAAAACAAAACACATGCACACGAATGTTCATTGCAGTACTATTCAGAATAGCAAAGACATGGAGTCAACCTAAATGCTCATCAATGACAGATTGTCCAAAGAAAATGTGATACATATACACCACGGAATACTATGCAGCCATAAAAAAGAATGAGACTCTGTTATTTGCAGGAACATGGATGGAGCTGCAGGCCACTATTCTTAGCATATTTACCCAGGAACAGAAAACCAAATATTGCATGTTCTCACTTATAAATGGGTGCTAAATGATGAGAACTCATGGACACAAAGAGGGGAGCAACAAACACTGGGACCTACCAGAGGGAGGAGGGTGGGAGGAAGAAGATCAGAAAACATAACAATTGGACTAGGCTTAGTACCTGGGTGACTAAAAAATCTGTACAACAAATTTCTGTGTCATGAGTTTACCTATATAACAAACCTACATGTGTACCCCTGAACATAAATAAAAGATTTTAAAAATTTAACTGATTATATGTTTAATGTTTATTTTTGGGCTATTCTATTTCATTTGTTTATGTCTGTCCTTATGCTGGTACCACGCTATTTTGATTACTTCAGGTTTGTTGTAAGTTTTGAAATCAGGAAATTTGAATCATCCAACATTGTTCTTTTTCAAAATTATTTTGAGTACTCTGAGCCCCTTGAAATTCCATATATATTTTAGAATAGACTTTTTTATTTATACCAAAAACATCATTGGGATCCTGATCGGGATTGCTTTAAATCTATAGATCACTTTTGTGAAGTATTATCCATTTTAATAATTGTAAGTTTTCTAATTCATGAACATAGAATGTCTTCTCATTACTTATGCCTCCTTCAATTTCTTTCAGCAATGTTTTGTATTTTGCAATGTACAAGTCTTTTGCCTCACTGGTTAAATTTATTCCTAAGTACTTTACTCTTCTTGATAGTATTGTAAATTGAATTGTTTTATTAGTTCCCTTTTTAGATATTTACTTCATAGCATATAGGAATGTAGCTGATATTTTTGTGTTTATTTTGTATTCAGCAACTTTGTTGAATTTGTATATTACCTCTGTGTATGTGTTTGTCTCCCTCTCTCTCCCTCTGTATAATATTTGGCGTTTGCTACACATAAGGTCATGCCATACGTGAACAGAGGTAATTTTACTTTTTTTCTGTTTTTTTTTCTTTCTTGCCTAATTCCTCTGATTAGAACTTCTAATACTATGTTGAATAAAAATGGCAAATGTAGGCATCTTTGCCTTGTTCTTCATAATAAGACATCCTGTGATTTTTAACATGCATTATGTTGTATGTTTTGGCAGCATTGTTGTTTTTCTTGCAAATAATTTAATAGTTTAACTCAAAGCTTCTAGGATGCTTTCATGTTGTTAGGTGAATCATTCCATGACTGCCGAATAAGGAATTTTCCAAGTGAATCTCAGAAATTTGTGTTTTAATAAGTGCTTCAGGTGATTCTGTTGCATACTCAAGTTTGAGAACCATTGTCCAAGGGGCAAAAGCTGCCATTGCCAATTGCTCTTTTTTATCTGAGAGGGGGCAGGATCCTCCTGGTCCACTGCTTGTGGATGCAACTTATTAAATGAAATAAGGCCATGAGTACTCTAGGGCCCAATCTCTGCTTTTTGTTTTGTTCACTCCTGTTTAAAATTTCACTCAGGGCTCTCTTTGGAAGAATTGCACTTACCTTTGCCATCCGGGGCTGAGGTTTCATTTTCTTTGGTTATTCCCCAGGCCAGTACCATTTGCTTTTTACTTTCCAGAAGTTCTGTAAAGATTGTTGATGGTACCCTTTCTTAGCTTTTTTTTTTTTTTTTGGTCTTGATATAGTCCTATTCTTCTAAAAAATCTTTTCATTTGTCTCCGTCAGACTTTGATGGAGAGGAGGGGAGATATTGTTTACATTTGTTAAAAATGGCTTTTAAGTTAAATTCTAACTAAGGGTCTATTAGGAAATAAAATTGCCTTCTGACTCCTTTTGATTTATTTTGCAGAATTGCATATATCCAAAGCTCTGGGTAATTATTAAACATTAGAAGTATAGAACAAACAGGCCAGCCAGGCCCGGCGAGGCCGCGGCGGGTCCGGCGCCCCGGACCTCCGGACCCGGAGGTCCGGCGCCCTGGTTGGCGCCCTGCCCCCAAAGTCCGTCCTCCCCGTTAGGTGGCGCCCAAGGGGAGGGGACAGCCGGGCAGGCAGGAAGCTGCGGCTTAAAAGGGCAACCCGCGCCGGACCCTTCCTTCCTAGTCGCGGGGAGTCTGAGAAAGCGCACCTGTTCCGCGACCGTCACGCACCCCTCCTCCGCCTGCCGCGATGTACCGCTACCTGGCCAAAGCGCTGCTGCCGTCCCGGGCCGGGCCCGCTGCCCTGGGCTCCGCGGCCAACCACTCGGCCGCGTTGCTGGGCCGGGGCCGCGGACAGCCCGCCGCCGCCTCGCAGCCGGGGCTCGCATTGGCCGCCCGGCGCCACTACAGCGAGTTGGTGGCCGACCGCGAGGACGACCCCAACTTCTTCAAGATGGTGGAGGGCTTCTTCGATCGCGGCGCCAGCATCGTGGAGGACAAGTTGGTGAAGGACCTGAGGACCCAGGAAAGCGAGGAGCAGAAGCGGAACCGGGTGCGCGGCATCCTGCGGATCATCAAGCCCTGCAACCATGTGCTGAGTCTCTCCTTCCCCATCCGGCGCGACGACGGCTCCTGGGAGGTCATCGAAGGCTACCGGGCCCAGCACAGCCAGCACCGCACGCCCTGCAAGGGAGGTATCCGTTACAGCACTGATGTGAGTGTAGATGAAGTAAAAGCTTTGGCTTCTCTGATGACATACAAGTGTGCAGTGGTTGATGTGCCGTTTGGGGGTGCTAAAGCTGGTGTTAAGATCAATCCCAAGAACTATACCGAAAATGAATTGGAAAAGATCACAAGGAGGTTCACCATGGAGCTAGCAAAGAAGGGCTTTATTGGTCCTGGCGTTGATGTGCCTGCTCCAGACATGAACACAGGTGAGCGGGAGATGTCCTGGATTGCTGATACCTATGCCAGCACCATAGGGCACTATGATATTAATGCACACGCCTGTGTTACTGGTAAACCCATCAGCCAAGGGGGAATCCATGGACGCATCTCTGCTACTGGCCGTGGTGTCTTCCATGGGATTGAAAACTTCATCAATGAAGCTTCTTACATGAGCATTTTAGGAATGACACCAGGGTTTAGAGATAAAACATTTGTTGTTCAGGGATTTGGTAATGTGGGCCTACACTCTATGAGATATTTACATCGTTTTGGTGCTAAATGTATTGCTGTTGGTGAGTCTGATGGGAGTATATGGAATCCAGATGGTATTGACCCAAAGGAACTGGAAGACTTCAAATTGCAACATGGGTCCATTCTGGGCTTCCCCAAGGCAAAGCCCTATGAAGGAAGCATCTTGGAGGTCGACTGTGACATACTGATCCCAGCTGCCACTGAGAAGCAGTTGACCAAATCCAACGCACCCAGAGTCAAAGCCAAGATCATTGCTGAAGGTGCCAATGGGCCAACAACTCCAGAAGCTGATAAGATCTTCCTGGAGAGAAACATTTTGGTTATTCCAGATCTCTACTTGAATGCTGGAGGAGTGACAGTATCTTACTTTGAGTGGCTGAAGAATCTAAATCATGTCAGCTATGGCCGTTTGACCTTCAAATATGAAAGGGATTCTAACTACCACTTGCTCCTGTCTGTTCAAGAGAGTTTAGAAAGAAAATTTGGAAAGCATGGTGGAACTATTCCCATTGTACCCACGGCAGAGTTCCAAGACAGTATATCGGGTGCATCTGAGAAAGACATTGTGCACTCTGCCTTGGCATACACAATGGAGCGTTCTGCCAGGCAAATTATGCACACAGCCATGAAGTATAACCTGGGATTGGACCTGAGAACAGCTGCCTATGTCAATGCCATTGAAAAAGTCTTCAAAGTGTACAGTGAAGCTGGTGTGACCTTCACATAGATGGATCATGGCTGACTTCCTCACTAACCTCTTCACGTGTAACTTCTGCAGACCTACCACAAGTTTACATGTAACCACAGAAATCCCTTTCTCTCCTGACTCATTACTAATGGATACCATTCTCAACAAGTCAATCCAAATCAGCCCGTTAAGGAGAAAGAAATTAATATACAAGCTGAGTGTGAAAGTAGAAATCACCTACACCAGAGAGCTATTTTGGTATTTTGCCTTTAAATAAAAAGCCTCCTCCATATGGCTGTGCAGCCTTGCTCTGTGGCTTTTCCCAGCACAATCAGTGCTAGTGCTGGGGAAGGGACAGTCAAGAGCAGTCAGTTGCTTACTTATTTTGCTCTGGATGAGTCTGGGACACGCTGTAACTTTAACACATTTAAGAAGAAGGTGTGTGGCCTTTTCAGAAGGTGGCATGGTCCTCAAGTGAGTTCTTAGTATTTTATATCAGCAAAATAACTCAATTTTGCAGATTGCAAACAAATATAAAAGCTGTTTCTGTTTATGAATTTTATTCTTTTAGAATAGAATAAGTACATGCTGCTGTAATAAAATTGCCTTTAATCACTTAACAAGCCTAACCTTGACTCAGTGAATGCCTATAAAAATAATAAATGAAAAAAAACAGTATTTTTATATCATAAAAGTTTCATTTGTAGCTTATCATTCACGTATTGTTGTCCAGCAAACATTAAAAGCCCTGTGGATAATTACGTTATCTTCATACCTGCAAAACGGTGGAGGCTATTTTCGTTAAAACTGTCAGAATTCGCTGTTATAATTATGACACATAGTCCAAAGAATGCAGTAACCTTTTTATCATGTTAACTAATTGTTCTCTTTTGAAGATCTATGGTTGACTAATTAAACAATAATTCAAGTAGAGTGTCCCAGAAAAAAACCACTTGGGCTCCCTGTTTGGAGTCTGGCTGGCTCTGAGCATTGCCAATGGCCCCTACTCACCTGACTTTGTATCCTCTTCTTTTAGAGGCTTTGCATTCTGCACCCAGCTTCACTAACAGTGGGCTGAAACCAACCTTGGGTTGAGTGTTTCATTTGGGAGTTATTTGGCCAGGGCCTTTTGAACAATAGTGTCCCCATGAAGTGCTAGATAATATATGTGTAAGAATCAGCTTTTTTTTTTTTAACTATAATATCCTTCAGAAATTTCTAACTACTTTGTAACTGCATGGCTTAACCTGGTGATAAAA
The DNA here is from genome assembly GCF_000001405.40 of Homo sapiens. NCBI lineage: Eukaryota > Metazoa > Chordata > Mammalia > Primates > Hominidae > Homo > Homo sapiens. The sequence goes on from NW_021160027.1 coordinate 369,985, forward strand.
GCAGTTATTAAAAGTCTACATTTTTTTTTAAAAAAAGAATAGAACAAATAATGGGAGCATTGGGTTGACCTTTGCAAATTATCTAGTTTTATTTACCTATTTTACACAGGAGAAGACTGAGAGAAGGGAGGAGTAGCTTGCTGTAGTTCAGACAGCAACTTATTTCAAAGCTGGTGCTAAAACCTAGAGTGAACTGGTACTTCTCCATTTCTGAAGGAAATGCAGAAGAAACAGAAGCAGAAAGACAACATTTTGGCCTGGACATATTTAACTTAAAGATGACTCCATTTTTGAACTTTATTTCTTGGAATAGAGTATCTTCTAAATTTAAACTGATCCAACTTTCACAAAATTGGGCAGTTAGAAGTCACAGAGGGAATTAGCAGCTGTTGTTATAAGAAAAAGCAAAGGGATTGTTGCCAGACTTCATAAATCTTGGCATATTTGAGAAAAATGTCCCAATTTGTTACATATGCTCATTCATGTGTGTAAACCTTTGGTTATAGTGCTTTGTCAATATAAATATGTTTTACATTATAAATTGGTCTGAGTGCTGGATTTCATGTTTATTATCCCTTAGAACCCCACTTTCTTTTGCTCTTCTTCTCGGGCTTTCTTTGCTTTATTTCTCCCACTCTTTTCTTCTTTTTTTTAGTGTACAAGCAGTGAAGGGTGCAGATCATGGATAGAGCTTTCAAGAAGTTTGTTCTAGTTCTTCTCCTGAAACTGGACCTCCCTCCTAGCTTGGTAACAACTACCTTATGGTCTCCACCTTGGACAGAGGTTTTTTGTTTGTTTGTTTGTTTGTTTTTGTTTTTTTTTTTGAGACGTAGTCTTGCCCTGTCACCTAGGCTGGAGTGCAATGGCGCCATCTCAGCTCACTGCAACCTCTGCCTCCCGGGTTCAAGCGATTCTCCTGCCTCAGCCTCCTGAGTAGCTGGGATTACAGGCGCACGCCACCATGCCGGCTAATTTTTGTATTTTTAGTAGAGACAGGGTTTCACCATGTTGGGCAGGCTGGTCTCGAACTCCTGACCTCATGATCCACCTGCCTCGGCCTCCCAAAGTGCTGGGATTACAGGCGTGAGCCACCATGCCTGGCTGGCCAGAGTTTTAAGAGCAAATCATATAAACTATTCTTCAGTGTAATAGAAAAGTAAATGGTATTTTTTTTTTTTTTTTAAAAAGGGAAACCAGGAAAAAGCAGTTTGAAGCCCAAAGTGAGGAAGTAACACAGCAATTCTCAAAGCTGGCTAGGTAGGGACTTTTTTCATATAGAAATAATCAGTAAACAGGCTGGGCGCGGTGGCTCATGCCTGTAATCCCAGCACTTTGGGAGGCTGAGGTGGGTGGATCCCTAGGTCAGGAGTTCAAGATCAATCTGGTCAAGATGGTGAAACCCCGTCTGTACTAAAAATACAAAAAAAAAACAAAAAAAAACTAGCTGGGCATGGTGGTGGGCGCCTGTAATCCCAGCTACTCAGGAGGCTGAGGCAGAGAATTGCTTAAACCCAGGAGGCGGAACTCCATCTCAAAAAAAAAAAAATCAGTAAACAGAAGTATATGTCCTGAAAAAGTAGTGTACAAGCATAAAGACATCATTAGTTAAACACTGGTTTATTCACTCAGGTTTTAGCACAATCAACTTCTCTGAGAAATTGGGAGATTTCAATGAGAGATTTCAGTAAGGACCGTGTTTGCTCTGTAAATGGACTCATCTCCGAGTTGCTTGCTCTGTGTCACAGTCATACCCCATAAAGAGTGAGTCAACAGGCATGCTGAAGCAGCAACAGACCAATGAGAAAAGGGAAGAAATCTGGGATTTAAGGGGCATGGAAAGATCCTGAAATATTTTTTCTATTGGTCTTTCCTAGCATAAGAAACATCAATTGTTAATCATTCCTTTGGTCTAGGCAGTACTTTTAAAACTTATTTTTAACCAGATAAATGGTTTGATTTGTCAAATGAAATCTTGTATGGAAACCCAATGTAGAAAACAGATGAAAACAGAGCTTCTCTGGCTGAAGCATCTCCACAAATCACAATTTGGAAAACATTCAGCTAAGGCATTGATGACTCCTTTGAAATGCATACTACCTGGGAAGTAGAACATACTAAGAACACTTTTGGGAAAATTAAGTAAGTCACATGTTAAAATACTGTATTAGCTTCTGGGAACTGTACTTTAAGCAGGACATAGAAAACCTGAGACTCATCCAGAGTAGGATTTCCAGGTTTCAGTGTTTCGTAGAGCAAGTGAAATTTGAAGTCAGAAGACTTTAATTCAAGTTTTGCCCCTGCTGTTTAGCACTTATGTGACCTTAGACAATTAGTCTCTGTGAGACGCAGCTTCCTTATCTGTACAATGGGGGTAATAATATCAATATCTAACAGGATTTTGAGGATTGAAAATAAATAATTAACTTTATCAAATGTAAAGTGCTGTATAATTTTTAATTTACTGATGAGTCTGGAAAACATGTGAGATGAGCCAAAAAGTGAAGGAACCAGATATATTTTAAGGAATAAAGATTTCTGGACACATGTGATAATTATCTTTGAAAATTTTAAGGTCTGATATGTGGAAAAATTAAGTTTGCTTTGTTTGTTCCTGATGGCACTGTGACCAATGTGTGGATGTGTCATGAGGGAGCATATTGGCTCAACATAAGAAAGGATTTTATAATTTCAAATAAAAGGGAGCACCACGAGTTATAGAAAACCTTGTCGTTGTAATTTTAGAGAGATTGCTGGGAGTCTACCTATTTGGGTTGCAGAATAAAGCATTTCTGCATTGAACAAGATGTAGTGACTTCAAAAGCCTGAGATTATTAATCCTCTTTTCCTTCTCCTTTTATTATATATCTTACAATTTTTTGACTGCTCAGTATCTATCCCTTCTTCTTCTGATAACAGCAGAACAGCCCCCGGGGAGAATTTGTGAACCAGTTACAATCAGTCATAGCATCACATTCTCATGGCCTCAGTGACTAATTGGTTTAGTGATAGATATATGACCCAAGCCAGGCCAAAATAGCTAGAATCTCAATTTTTGGACTTTTCTTGATCTACTGGGCATAAAAGTGTGCTGTTTCTGGTAGGAATGCTGATGACAGGTAGTAACTTGCAGCTGCTTGTAGCCATCTTGGCAATCCCAGGGGAGATCTGCCTGAGAATAGAGACAATGTGAAGCTAAGCAATGATCAGAGATACAGACTGAGATCAAGCCCTCATGACATAATTTGAACCCATAGCTCTAATCATTCCTAAAATAAAATTTAGACTTCACCTTTTACGTGAACCAATAAAGTTGCATTTTGAGGAAGTTTTTTGTCACTTGCAACTTAAGGAATCTCAATGGCCACATTAGCCCTCACCTCCAACTTTGTGTCTGACACAGTCGTCTCTGCAAAGCAACAGGAGGAAAGAAGGCTGTGGTCACATGTGTAAAGACAGTCCTAGGTTTGGAGAGGATGTGAAGGGCAGAGAATTCTTGTCCCCCACGTAACAGGAAGATGAAAAGTCCCCAAGGCTATTCTCATATATTCTGTCTAGGGGAGACAGTACATTTTTTGAGTTGCCCACTTTCTGCTTGCAGAGCTTTTGGCGGGACAGGGAGCCCTGCTCAAATTGTTAATTAGCAAATTAAAGAAAGGCTGCAGTTGCAAAACTTGTACTAGTTCTTTGTGTTGCTCATTGTATAAAGAAAGTAATTTTGTTTATATAAATACCTTGATGGGTCTTTTTTGTTGTTGCTCATGAAAAGGGTTAGGTTCTCAGGACAAGATCTGGAATGAGAGATTTGACAGAAAAGGGCAAAACCACCCTTTTATATATAACAACTTTGTGCCAGAGGTACTCTGTGCAAGAAAGAAGAGAGTCTGTGTATCCCAGTAGTGTTACACTGTGCTCAGAGACCAACTGAAGCCCCAGCCCTAAGGCATAGGGATATGAGATGCTAGGAGGAGGAATAATAATAGTTGAGTAGAGTAATGCGAATCTGCACACAAATCTTCACCCTAGGATAGCCTGGAAATACTGAAGAGTGTTTACCATCCCAGAGGATTTGTATTTAAGGCAAAAGGTGACACCAGAAGGCTCAAAAGCTTTGATACAGACATTTGTGTAGCACTTATTTTTGTCTATCTTGTCCCAAGCCCTTTCATGACTCTGTCCTATCTATGTAATTCTATCCCAGCTATTAAAAAAAAATAGCTACTAGTGATGACCCTTTCTCTGAAATTAGTCCAGACTACTTCTTGCTTTTTCACCTTAAACTTACTCTTAACTTTCCTGGTTTTCTACCCCCTTGGTAGCTCAGTGTCTTGTTCCTGACATTTACTTATTTTGGATAAGTTATTTCATGGTTACCTTAGCTCCATTTTTTTGGAAAAGATATGTTCTATTCACTTCTGGTTTCATAACTGTATAGGAAGAAATATGTATTTTTTTTCTGTCCTGGCCTTGTGATAACACCAGACAAGGCTTGTTCCCCTACCTCAGTATTCCTTTTAAGAAACGAAGACTGGAAAACATTTTTTTTCTCCAGACAGTTCATTTGTTCCATATGTTCCAAGAAAAGAATAAATATTTCTTTGTGAGACCTTAAGCCTTAGGGTAGGACCTGCGCCTTGATTTCTGTTTTTCTGCAGTTGCTACACTGACTATGCTTTTCCCAGACTTGAGAAATACTTTAGATGATAGTAAGGCTGTATATGGTAACTAGTGGTGAATACATAGTGGATGTCTAAGATATATAATTGATGTTGATGAATGATTGCAGGTACTCTGCTGAAGGTTATAGATTTATGTTGTTAATTATGTAAAATGTATGTCACAGAATATTGTTTTCTGCCTTTAATATATACAGTGAAGAAATGAAATGTTTTAGATGTGAATTCTCAATATCATTCTTTTGTTGTCTAGATCCCTTTGGGACCCTGTTTTGTTCCCTGGGAGGCTGAGCTTTATTGGCTACATCAATGGACTCTCTTTTCTTCAGACTTTTGATTGGTTTAGTCAATGGTAGGTACTGACAGGAAGTTGGGAGAAAAGAGAGATTGAGGCATTTATGCTAGACTCCCTTTCTGATGTGGTTTGGAATTGCCTTTGTTCCTCCACTGAAGGCCTCAGCTCCTCTTTGGTAGCTCTCCTCTAATGTTCTCTACAGGTTCTGGTTATTCCTCTCTCCCTTGTCCCTTCAGGTAAGGGAGGTGGTAAAGGCTCCCGGTCTCCATGTTTCACCTTCCCTTATTGGCTTTCCTTACTTTTCCCTAAAGCATTATACAGAGTCCCTTTTTAATATTAAATTTTCCTTTTGAATGTGCCATCTGTTTCCCGGGGTGGGATTCTGACTAATTCATTATGAAAAAAAAGGTACTCCATTATTGGAATGTGTTTGAATATTTGGAAAATAATTCCTAAAAAAGGTATTAGTATGTTGTTTCTTCAGGAACATTTGTTAAGTGAATGAAACTTCCACATTGGTATTCAACTATCCATTTACTTTATTTATTTATTTTGGTTTAAATTTATATATATGTATATATATATCAATTTATATATATTTTATTAGGTGGCATAAGTACAGGTTTCTTACATGCATATATTGTGTGAAGTCATGGCTTTTACTGTACGCATCACCTGAATAGTGATCATTACATTTAACTCTGGGCTTTCCTAAACTCACTGTCTGTGGGCTCCTAAGAACTGTGGAGTCTGCTTGGGTAGTATATACAACTGAGATTCACTGCTGTAGAGCTTAGGTGAGTTAATGGCCAGCGAACTCAGTGGTTTGCTCACCTCGGGTCTAACAAAGCCATGACTAATGTTTTTATCTTTTTGGGGACCAGTTAGGTAATTTTGTCTTCAAAAGTCCCACAGATAGTACTTGCAACCTTGGTCATGAATGAATATTCTTGAGGGCCAGTCATGACAACATGACTGGCTCAGATCAAGCAATAAAATGCCTCAGTCTACCAATCTTGGGTCAGTAGTGTCCTTTTTGACTAGGAAGAGCAGTGATATTGTTTACAAAAGAACAAAGGAGCAACTCAAATAACATAACCAGACTTTGGGAATTATTCCCAAAGAATATTTATATTCTCTTTTGGGAGGTACAACTTGATGCCACTTTACCTTTCTATCTTGGCTATCAAGATGCATATTGCTGAATTTAAAACTTGATTACAGTAATAATCTCATCTTTAGTTTCCGGCACAACTACAGCTGTCTTTCTCATTAATGATATCTAATTCTCTTTGGTCTTTGTTGAACTATTTTGTGGATATTTATATTTTACTGAAGGTACTTTAAATTCTCACAATATATGGTTGTTTAAATGTGTGTGGCACCTCCACCTCTTCTCTCTCTTGCTCCTGCTTTTGCCATATGATGCACCTGCTCCCCTTTTACCTTCTGCCATTATTGAAAGCTTCCTGAGGCTTCCCCAGAAGCAGATGCCACTGTTTCCTGTAAAGTCTGCAGAACTGTGAGCCAACTAAATATTTTTTATTTATATATTACCCAGTCTCAGATATTTCTTTATAGCAATGCAAGAATGGCCTAATACAGAAGATTTACCTAATAAGCTTAAAATTATAACAAAGGAAATAAAATCAATCAAACCCTGATGCCTAAGGTGTCAGGGTAGCCCAATATATCCAACACATTGGGATGCTCTCCATAATAGGTCAAAGTATTAGAAATGCATTGGCTCAGCTCTCTCTTGAGCATGATTGGGTGGATACAGCTAACATATGTCTTCTTTAATCTCTTTTTTCTTTGCTTATTCAATTGGCTGCACCTTTTTCTTATTGATATGGTCTTTATCTACATATAATAATACAGTACAACAGTAATTATGGTCTTAGAACCATCTCATTTCAGGTGAATTTATAGATCTACTTGACCTACATGTTGATTTCAGAGGTCAATTTGTCCCCCTCATTTCTCCATGTTCTTGGGGGCACCCAATAAAAGCTCCCCAAAGTACTTACAAGAGTCTTACTATGAGAGAAACCACAATTGGTAAGGCCCTAAAAAACCTGAAAATTTTAAGTAATGGTAGAAATAAGCATACTTCAGGAAACACATAGTTGTTTATCCATTCCCATTGACTTTAAACACTTCCTATGACCAAAAGAATTTAAAGTACCTTCAGTAAAATATAAATATCCACAAAATAGTTCAACAAAGACCAAAGAGAATTAGATATCATTAATGAGAAAGACAGCTGTAGTTGTGCCTTTGCATACCCATAGCTTAGCTCCTACTTATAAGTGAGGACATGTGGTATTTGGTTTTCCATTCCCGAGTTGTGTCACTTAGTATAATGGCCTCCAGTTTCATCCCAGTTGCTGCACAAGATATTATTTCATTCTTTATCATGACTGGGTAGTATTCCATAGTGTAGATATGCCACATTTTCATTATCCACTCATCTGTTGATTGGCAATTAGGTTGATTCCATGTCTTTATAATTGTGAATTGTGCTATGATAAACATGAGTGCAGGTATCTTTTTAATATAATGACTTCTTTTCCTTTGGGTGGATACCTAGTAGTGGGATTCCTAGATCAAATGGTAGACTTACTTTAGTTCTTTGAGAAATCTCCATACTGTTTTCCATAGAGGTTGTACTGATTTACATTCTCACCAACAGTGTACAAGCATTCCCTTTTTACTGCATATACACCAATATCTACTGTTTATTATGTTTTAAAAATGGCCATTCTGATTGGGGTAAGGTGGTATCTCATTTTGTGTTTTAATTTGCATTCCCTTGATGATTAATAATGTTGAGCATTTTTTATATGTTTGTTGGCCATTTGTATATTTTCTTTTGCGAAGTGTTTATTTATGTTGTTTCCCTACTTTTTAATGGGATTATTTGTCTTTTTCTTTCTGATTTGATTTCCTTGCATATTCTGGATGTTAGCCTTTTGTTGGATGTATAGCTTGCAAATATTTTTTCCTATTCTGCAGGTTTTCTGTTTACTCTGTTATTTCTTTAGCTGTGCAGAAGCTTCTTTAGTTTAATGAAGTCCCATTTATTTATTTTTGTTTTTGCTGCATTTGCTTTTGAGGCCTTACTGATAAATTACTTTTCTAGGCCAATGTCCAGAAAAGCTTTCCCTAGGTTTTCTTCTAGAATTTTTATAGTTTCAGGTCTTATATGTAAGTATTTAATCCATCCTGAGTTAATTTTTGTATATGGTAAGAGTTAAGGGTCCAGTTTCATTCTTCTGCATGTGGCTGTCCAATATTCTCAGCATCATTTATTGAAAAGAGTGTGCTTTCCCCAGTGCATGCTTTTGTCTGCTTTGTCAAAGATCAGCTGTTTTGTAAGTATTTGGCTTTATTTCTGGGTTCTCTATTCTGTTATATTGGTCTATGTATCTACTTTTATACCAGTACCATGCTGTTTTGGCTACTATAGCCTTGTAGTATAATTTGAAGTTAGGTAATGTGATGTCTCTGGCTTGGTTCTTTTTGCTTAGGATTGCTTTGGCTATTTAGGCTCTTTTTTGGTTCCATATGAATTTTAAGATTTTTTTCTAATTCTGTGCATGATGATATTGGTGATTTGATAGGAATTGCATTGAATATGTAGATTGCTTTGGGCAGTATGGTCATTTTCACAGTATTGATTTTTCCAATCCATGAGCATGGAATGTTTTTCCATTTGTTTGTGTCACCTATGATTTCTTTCATCAGTGTCTTGTAGTTCTCCTTGTAGAGATTTTTCAGCTCCTTGGTTAAGTATATTCCTAGGGGTTTTTTTGCAGCTATTGTAAATGGAATTGATTTGATCTGATTTTCACCTTGGTCATTATTTGTGTATAGCAGAGCTACTGATTTGTGTATGTTAATTTTGTAATCTGAGACTTTAGTGAATTCATTTATCAAATCTAGGAGGCTTTTCGAGGGGTGTTCAGGGTTTTTAAGATAGAAGATGATATCAGCAAACAGATACTTTGACATTATTTTTTCCAATTTGGATGCCCTTCATTTCTTTCTTTTGCCTGACTGTTCTGGCTAGGACTTCCAGTACTACATTGAATAAAAGTAGTGAAAGTGGGCATCCTTGTCTTGTTCCAGTTCTCAGGGGCAGTGTTTTCAACTTTTCCCCATTCAGTGTGATGTTTACTGTGGGCTTGACATATATGGCTTTTATTATTTTTAGGTATGTTCCTTTGATGCCTAGTTTGTTAAGGATATTTATCATGAAAGGATGCTGAATGTGATAAGGTGCTTTTTCTGCATCTATTGAAATGATCATATTTTTTAAAAAATTACTTATGTGGTTAATCACATTTATTGATTTCTCTACGTTGAACCATCCTTGGATCCCTGGGATAAAACCCCCTTGATCTTGGTGAATTATTGATGTACTGTTAGATTTGGTTGGCTAGATTTTTGTGTTCATGAGGGATATTGGTCTGTAGTTATTTTTGCTATTGTTATGTCCTTCTCTGGCTTTGGTATCAGGGTGATATTAGCTTCACAGAATGAGTTAGGGAGGATTCCCTACTTCTCAAGCTCTAGTAATAGTTTCAGTAGAATTGCTACCAGTTCTTCAAATGTTTAGTAGAAGTTGGCTGTGAATCTGTCTGGTCCTGGGCGTATTTTTTTGTTTGGATATTTTTATCACTGATTCAATCTCACTACTTATAATTAGTCTGTTCAGAGTTTCTATTTCTTCCTGATTCAAGCTTGGAGTGTTGTATGTTTCCAAGAGTTTATCCATTTCCTCTAGATTTTCTGGTTTGTGCACATAGAGGTGTTCATAGTAGTCTCAGATGATCTTTTGTATTTCCATGGTATCAGTAGTAATGTTTCCCTTTTCATTTATGATTGAGCTTATTTGAATCTTCTCTCTTTTCTTGGTTAATTTAGCTAACTATCAATTTTGTTTATCTTTTCGAAAACAAATTTTTCTTTTTATTGATCATTTGTATTTGGCAGGGGTTCAATTTCATTTAGATCCGCTCTGATCTTTATTTGTTTTCTGCTGCCGCCTTTGGGTTTGGTTTGTTCTTGGTTTTCCAGTTGCCTAAGGTATTATGTTAGGTTGTTGGTTTGTGATTTTTCTTTCTGATGTAGACATTTGGCAATATAAACTATTGTCTTAGCACTGCTTTTCCTGTATCCCAGAGATTTTAATAACTTGGGTTACTGTTATCATTTGTTTGAAAAATTTTTAAATTTTCTTCTTGATTCTATCATTTATCCAAAGATTATTTGGGATCAGATTAATTTCCATGTATTTTTATAGGTTTGAGAGTTTCCCTTGCCGTTGATTTCTAGTTTTATTGTCCTGTGGTCTGAGAAGGTACTTGTATGATTTGGAATTTTTTGTATTTATTTAGGCTTATTTTGTGGCCTCTCATATGGTCTATCTTGGAAAGATTCCATGTGCTGATGAGAAGAATGTATATTTTGAATTTTTTTGTAGAATATTCTGTAAATATCTGTTAGAGTCCAGTTTCAGTCCAGTGTTTATTTGTTGACTTTCTGCCTCCATGATCTGTCTAGTGCTGTCAGTGGAGTGTTGAGGTCCCAAACTATTATTGTATTGCTGTCAATCTCTTTTCTTGGGTCTAGTAGTAGATCTTTTATTAATCTGGAAGCTCTTGTGTTGGGTGCACATATATTAAGGATTGTTATATCTTCAATTATATATATATAATTGAACCCTTTATTATTATATGATGACATTCTTTTTCTTTTTTTTTACTGTTATTGATTTAAAATCTATTTTATCTGATAGAAGAAAAGCTACTTCTGCTCATTTTTGGTTTCCATTTGTGTGAAATATTTTTCCCATCTTTTTGCCATGAGTCTATAAGGATCTTTATGAGTTAAGTGGGTCTCTTGAAGGTAGCAGATATTTGGACTGTGTTTCTGTAAGACATTCTGCCAATATACATCCTTTCAGTGGGACACTTAGACCATTTACATTCAAAGTTAATATTGGTATTTGAAATACTATTCCCATCACCAAGCTGATTGTTACCTAGTTGTTTGTTTTTCCATTCTGTTACTGTTCTACAAGTCTTGTGAGTTATACTTTCAAGTGTTTTTATATTGATGCATATAGACCTTTCATTTTGATATTTGAAATTCCTTTGAGTATTTCTTGTAATGCTGTTCTAGTGGCAGCAAATTTCCTAAATGTTTGATTGCCTGAGAAAAAGTTTATTTCTTCTTCATTTATGAAACTTAGTTTAGCAGAATACAAAATTCTTGGCTGGCAGTTATTCTCCTCTAGGAGACTTAGGACCCTAATCCCTTATGACTTGTAAAGTTTCTGCTGAGAAGTATGCTCTTAATCTGATAGGTTTTCCTTTATATGTTATTTGATACTTTTGTCTCACTGGTCTTAGAATTCTTTCCTTCATATTGATTTTAGATATCCTGATTACTATATACCTTAGCGATATCCTTTTTGCAATTAATCTGTTGGTATACAGAAATGCTACTGATTTTTGTGTGTTGATATTGTATTTGCAATATTACTGAATTTATGAGTTCTAACGGTTTTTTGTTGGAGTCTAGGTTTTTCCAATTATAAGATTGATACGATCTTATAATAAGGATAATTTGACTTCTTTCTTTCTAATTTGGATGCCCTTTATATTTTTCTCTTGTCTGATTGCTTTAGCTAGGGCTAAAATATTCAAAGATAAGAGTTTCATGTAATAGAAGTCTTAATCTGTGAACCTGAGACAAGTCAGGATGTCAGGATGATGTTGGCCTCATAGCATGAGTTAGGGAGAGCCTTCCTCCTCAAGTTGTTTTGAATGGTTTCTGTTGAAATTGTATCAGTTCTTCTTTATACATCTGGTAGAGGTTGGCTGTGAATCTATCTGGTTCTGGGCTTTTTTTTTTTGCTTAGTAGGCTTTTTATTACTGATTCAGTGTCAGAACTCATTATTAGTTTCTTCAGGGATTCTGTGTTTTCCTGGTTCAATCTTTGGACATTGTATGTGTCTAGAAATTCACCGATTTTTTTCCTAGATTTTCTAATTTATGTGCATAGAGCTGTTCGTAACAGTCTCGAAGGGTTTCTTTTATTTCTTTGGGGTTGGTGGTAATGTCCTCTTTCTCATATCTGAATGTGTTTATTTCAATATTTTCTCATTTTTCTTTATTATTCTAGTTAGCAGTCTACCAATCTTATCCTTTTGAATAAAAAACTCCTGGTTTCCTTTATCTCTTGAATTTTTTTTTACATGTCAATTTCATTCAGTTCATCTCTGATTTTGGCTATATCTTGTACTGCTAGCTTTGGGGGTTAGTTTGCTCTTGTTTCTCTAGGATTTCTTTTTTTTTTTTTTTTTTGAGATGGAGTCTCACTCTGTCACACAGGCTGGAGTGCAGTGGCGTGATCTTGGCTCACTGCAACCTCTGCCTCCCGGGTTCAAGCGATTCTCCTGCCTCAGCCTCCCGAGTAGCTGGGACTACAGGTGCACGCCACCATGCCCAGCTAATTTTTTTATTTTTAGTAGAGACGGGGCTTCACCATGTTGACCAGGCTAGTCTTGAACTCCTGACCTCGGGTGATCCGCCCGCCCCGGCCTCCCAAAGTGCTGGGATTACAGGAGTGAGCCACCACACCCAGCCTGTTTCTCTAGGTTTCTTAAGATGCAATGTTAGCTTGTCAATTTGAGATCTTTCTAACTTAAATTTTTTTTATTTCAATAGGTTTTTGGGGAACAAGTGTTTGGTTACATGAATAAGTTCTTTAGTGGTGATTTCTGACATTTTGGTGCACCCATCACCCAAGCAGCGTACACTGTACCCAACATGTAGTCTTTTATCCCTCACCCTCCCATCCTTTCCACCGAGTCCCAAAAGTCTGTTGTATCATTTTTATGCCTTTACGTCCTCATAACTTAGCTCCCAATTATGAGTGAGAACATAAAATGTATGGTTTTCCATTCCTGAGTTACTTCACTTAGAATAATAATCTCCAATTCCATCCAGGTTTCTGTGAAAGCCATTATTTTGTTCCTTTTAATGGCTGAGTAATATTCCATGGTGTATATACATACCACATTTTTTGTATCCACTAGTTGATTGATGGCCATTTGGGCGGGTTCCATATTTTTGTATTTGCAAATTGTGCTGCTATAAACATGTGTGTGCAAGAATCTTTTTTGCATAATTACTTCTTTTCCTCTGGGTAGCTACCTAGTAGTGAGATTGTTGGATCAAATGGTAGATCTACTTTTAGTTCTTTAAGCAATCCCCACACTGTTTTCTATAGTGGTTGTACTATGTCATTTTCACAATATTGATTCTACCCATCCATGAGCATGGGATGTATTTCCTTTTGTTTGTGTCATCTATGATTTTTTTCAAACTATACTATAAGGCCATAGTCTCCAAAACAGCATGGTACTGGTATAAAAATAGGCACATAGGGCCAGGCACAGTGGCTCACGCCTGTAATCCCAGCACTTTGGGAGGCTGAGGCGGGCGGATCATGAAGTCAGGAGATCGAGACCATCCTGGCCAACACGGTGAAACCCTGTTTCTACTAAAACATTCAAAAAGTTAGCTGGGCATGGTGGTGGGCACCTGTAGTCCCAGCTACTCGGGAGGCTGAGGCGGGAGAATGGCGTGAACCCAGGAGGCAGAGCTTGCAGTGAGCCACTGCACTCCAGCCTGGGCGACAGAGCGAGACTCCATCTCAAAAAAAAAAAAAAAAAAAAGGCACATAGACCAATGGAAAAGAATAGAGAACCCAGAAATAAAGCCAAATACTTACAGCCAACTGATCTTCAACAAAGCAAAGATTATATATATATATATATACACATATATATGTATATATATGTGTATATATGTATATATGTGTATATATATGTGTACATATATGTATACATATATATATGTATATATATATACCCTTCTAGACGTTGGCTTAGGCGAAGACTTCATGACCAAGAACCCAAAAGCAAATGAAACAAAAACAAAGATAAATAGATGAGACTTAATTAAACTAAAATACTCCCACAGTTACAGGCGTTGCTCAGCTCCCACGCAGCCCAAAAGGCCAGTCTCACTCCCACCATGTTCCCTGCAACAGCACCAAGTTTGTTTCCAGGCAGTGGGTGAGCAGGGCTGAGAACTTGCCCCACTCTACCAGCCTCCCTGATGTGAAAGTAAGCAGAGCTTTCAGGTTTCGTACCCCCAACCTGCCGCAGCTTCTGTGCTGTGTCTGCACTCTGCATTCACCCCGTCCCTCAAATTCTGTCCAGGAAACTATGCGTTCAGTTGAAATTGTTATAAAGTTCAACTTGAAGTTTACTTCTCCCTGTGGTCTTTTCCCAGTTCCTCTGGCAGCCCTTCCCAAGGACCTCTGTGAGACAAAGTCAGAAATGGCTTTCCTGGGGACCAAGAGAGCCCACAGGGCTCTTCCCCATGCTTCTTCTACCGCTGTGTTTGGCTCAGCTCTCTAAAATTGTTTCTGTTCCAGGTAAGGTCAAATCCTTCTCCCATGATCTGGAACTTCATGTTCCCCAGTGATGATGTGTGTTTGGGGGCAGATGATCCCCCTTTCACACTTTCACACTTTGGGCACTCACAGTGTTTGGGCTGTCTCCCAGGGCCTGCAGGAGCAATTCACTTCTTTCAAAGGGTCTATGGATTCTCTTGGCTTTCCTGGTATGTTCCTGTGGTAGTTCTTGGAGCAAAAGTTTACAACGTGAGTCTCCACATGCTGCTCTGTCTGTCTGAGTGGGGGCTATAATGTAGTCCTGTCTCCTATCTGCCATTTTGCTAACCCCTCAAAATTTGTCTTCCTCTTCATTCATTTTCATTGTTCTATAATACTTTTTTATATGACTATATTATAATTTGTTCATTTTTCTGTCAATAAATATTTAAAATGTTGCTCTGTGATATAGTTTGGCTGTGTCCCCACCCAAATCTCATCTCGAATTGTAGCTCCCATAATTCCCTTGTATTATGGGAGGGACCCAGTTGGAGTTAACTGAATCGTGGGGCAGTTTCCCCCATACCGTTCTCGTGGTAGTGAATAAGTCTCATGAGATCTGATGGTTTTATAAGGGGAAACCCTTTTCACTTGGCTCTCATTCTCTTCTTTGTCTGCTGCCATGTGACATTTGCCTTTTACCTTCTGCCATGATTGTGAGGCCTCCCCAGCCACACAGCGGCGGATTGTCCGCAGGCGCAGGTGTTCTGGAGATGATGCCCTTCCCAGAGCTGGAGGAGAGACTGACCTGCCTAGGGGGTTTGAAGGAAGACTGTGGCTTGGCCTGTGGTGGTCACTGTTGGGAGCCTGTCTGGCTGCAGGACTGCTCCCCACCTGGGCCCTGGACTGTGGGAAGTGACCCCTGCAGCCACGTGGAACTGTGAGTTCATTAAACCTCTTTCTTTTGTAAATTGTCCCATCTGGGTTATGTCTTTATCAGCAGCATGAAAACGGACTAATACACTGTGTATGTTGTTAGAAGTGTGAGAAGTTCTCTGGGGCAAATACTTATGAGTAGAATTGCTGTATAATAGAGTATGCATATCTACAATTTTACCTTGGTGAGTTTATTGTGAGAGCTTATTGTGATATTATTTTTAATCTCTTTAGTTACTAATGAGTTTGAACATTTTAAATTATCTTTATTGGTTGTTCTTATTTTCTTATTTGTGAAATGCATTTTTGTGTCTTTTGTCCATTTTTCTACTGAACAGTGTTTTAAATTTATTTTTATTAATTGCTAATGTCATCTTGGTACTAATACATGTGTCATATGTGTTGAGGATACCTTCCTTTAATTTGTGGCTTATCTTTTTGCTTTTCTCATGGTGACTTTGATCATCAGAATTTTTTTATTTAGTGTGTTCATATTTATTAATCTTCTTTTATGGTTTGTACTTTTTGAGTCTTGTTTAAGAAATACTTCCCAGACACCCTAACATTTGATGCTCAAATTACCATAGCTTGAACTTTCATTGGCCTCATATCTTGAACTTAGCAACCCTCCCCTTCTGGAATGTATACACATGTATCTGGAATTTTTCAAAAGTGTACAGTAAATGTGTTCCCAAGCCTGTTGCCCACTATAATTACCACATTACAACTGCCATGATATTTTTCTCCTATTCCTTCAGCTAATATCCACCGCTCTTGAAGCAGTTTAGTGGAGCCTCACTGTAGCTTGCATTGGGATTATCCTTCAGAAAATTGTCAGTATCTATGCTTAGGGTGTTATTTTTCTAAGTCACATGTCTTTGGGGCATTAGAGGGTGCTGGGCTCTTTGTGGAGATAGGGAGAATGTCTGTCCCCTAGGCACCAAAGCTATGTTACCTGAATGTAATATATCTTGATATCTCTTAACAAAACAAAAACAAACTAAAGCTAAACAAAAAGGTCCATGCTCATTTCTACAATCACAAGTAATGTTTCAGTCATAATATTATCTCAGTTCATACATAGTATAGCAAAATTTTTTACTCACCCTTATGTTACACAAAGCTTCAGAAATAGAGTCCTTGCTCAACCATAAACATCATTTATACTTAAAAACCAGAACACTTAACCTACACATTCATTTGGTTTTTACAGTCTTTACTCTAGTATGAAGTGAAGAAATTATGAGATCTATATATTCTCCATGGCATGGTTTTGTTCTTCCAATTTCTTGGGAGCAAGTATTTGGACAAAAAGACCTACTTAGAATTTTTAAAGATAATTTTCTGAGACAATCAAATAAAAATCCATATTAAAATATTCCTAACTCCTCATAGTTCAGCTAAAGATATACGTAATTTATTAAACAGTACAGTTGAAACTTAAGTCTATAGTCTCTGCATATAGCTTAACAATTTTCCCCAAAATAAGATGAAGGAATACTGTACCCCAAACTGACCGAAAATCTTCATCTCTAAAGAGATGGAACTTCTTGCAGACCTTGAAGTGACAAACTTCTGTCCATCCCACCTATTCATCAAAGATTTCAAAAAAGATCTTAAAGCCTGAGTTTCATGTCATATACTTCATTTCTATTAGTAAAAATATCTTAGAGTATAAAGCTACTGTTGCAGGGACAAAATTGTGTGGGAATAAACAATGTGGGGCAGGAGATGTTCAGAACTGGAATAGATAACTTCTTAGCTATTTTGGTTAAGTATTTGTGGTAGATTAAGGATGGCTTCAAATTCTGTGACATTTATTCCATCAAGTGTTGGTGTTTACTTCCCCTATATTTGAATCTGGGCTGGCTAGTCCCTGCTCTGGCTAATGGAGTATGGTGGAATTGATGCTGTGCCATTGCTGGGCCTAGCTGGTAAAAGTACTGGAAGCTTCTTGCTTGGTTTCATGGAGCCCTGAGCCACCATGTCTCAAAATCCTGCTAAAAGGACCATGTGGAGAAGCTCTGAGACTCCATAGGGAGGAGGAGGAGTATCATTGAGCTGCTCTTGTCAAGGAACCAGGAATATGAGTGATGTGTCTTGGATCCTCTATACCAGCCAAGCCACCACCTGAATACAGTTTTCCCTTGGTATCTACAGGGGATTTCAGGACACCTGTGGATATCAAAATCCACAGATGCCTAAGTCCCTTACATAAAATGGCATAGTATTTGCATATAATCTAGGCACATTCTCCCATGCACTTTAAATCACCTCTAGATTTGTAACCCTAAAATCAGAATCAACACTTATGCAGTCATTCACACAGCAATTTTATTTTTTTCAGAGAAGCAGTTTTTCAGAACAGAAAAAAATTTGAGTCTCTTTATGCACATATTCCTAGTTGAGGTTGAACAAAGTGATAGTCTGCCTTTTTGTTTCAGCTCTCATATTTTAAACAAGTGTCCTCTTTGCTATCTATTTAGTGCCATGGTTTTTGCATTTTTCTGCTTTTTTTTTGGGTGATTTTGCTGTTTAGAATGGCCCAGAAGCATAGTGTCGAAGTGCTTTCTAGTGTTTCTAAGCACAAGAAGGCTGTGATGTGCCTTATAGAAAAAATAATGTATAATATAAGCTTTGTTCAGGTATGAATTATAGTGCTGTTGGCTGCGAGTTTAGTAAAAATAAATCAACTATATATTAAATAAGAAATACACATAAAACAAGGTTATGTATTGATGAGATGATGGAAATATTATGGCCTAAGAGGCTCACACATACCTAAACCTGAATTTTCCCTAGGAACAGTAGTTCAGTATTTGCTAATTTGGTGCTAATGACAATGCTATAGAACATAAATACCACGAATAGGCCAGGCACGGTGGCTCACGCCTGTAATCTCAGCACTTTGGGAGGCCGAGGCAGGTGGATCACGAGGTCAGAAGATCAAGACCATCCTGGCTAACATGGTGAAACCCCATCTCTACTAAAAATACAAAAAATGAGCCGGGCGTGGTGGCAGGTGCCTGTAATCCCAGCTACTCAGGAGGCTGAGGCAGGAGAATGGTGTGAACCCGGGAGGCGAGGCTTGCAGTGAGCCAAGATCGCGCCACTGCACTCCAGCCTGGGTGACAGAGCGAGACTCCATCTCAAAAAAAAAAAAAGAAAGAACATAAATGCCATGAATAATGAGCATAGACTGTTCTGCATTCTGCTTACTCATTCTACTGTTGCTGGACACATGGATTGTTTCCACCTTTTGGGTATTGTGAATGATGCTGCTATAAACATTGGTATACAAGTATCTGTTTGAATCCCTGTTTTCAGTTCTTTTGGGTATATACCTAGGAGTAAAATTGTTGGGTCATACAATAATCCTATGTTTAACTTTTTGAGAAACCTCCAAACTGTTTTCCATAGTGGCTGCACCATTTTGCATTCCCGCCAGCAATGTGCAAGGATTCTAATTTCTCCATATCCTCAACAAAACTTGCTGTTTTCCTTTACATTTTTTATTATAGCTATTATAGTAAACATGAAGTTGTGTCTCCAATGAGTTGTCTTTGATTTGAATTTTCCTAATAACTAATGATGATGATATATATATCTTCTTACCAAAAAAGTATACTCTTGTAATTTGCCTATTTTTAAAATGGGTTTTTAGATGGTTGCTGAGTTATAGAAGACCTTCATATAGTTTGGATGTTAAGTCCTACCAGATTATGATATGCAAATATCTTTTCTCACTCTCTTGATTATTTGATGTACAAGAGTTCTTCATCTTAATGAAGTATTTTTTTTATTTTTTGTCTGTGCTTTTGGTGTCATATTTATAAAACTATTGCAAAATTCAAGGTAATAAAAACTTGCCCATATATTTCCTCCAAAGAGTTTTATTATTTTAGCTCTTAGATTTAGGCCTTTGATTCATTTGTATTAATTTTAGTATATGATATAATGTACAGGTTGAACTTCATTCTTTTGCATATGGTTGTCCAGTTTTCCCAGCACCATTTATTGAAGAGATTGTTCTTTCCCCATTAAATGATCTCAGAACTCTTGTTGAAAAATTTTTAATCAATTCCACTGGTTTATATGTCTGTACATATGACAGCACTATTTTGATTACTGTAGCTTTGTAGTAAGTTTCAAAATCAGAAAGTATGAATTTTCTAATGTTCTTTTTCAATATCGTTTTGGCTACTCCGGGTCTCTTGAAATTTCATATAAATTTTAGGGTAGGTCTTTCCATTTCTGTAAAAAATATCGAAATTTTCATAGGAGTTGCATTGAATCTGTGGATTGATTTGGGTAGTATTGCCATTTAAATTTTTTTATTTTTAATTTTTGATAGTATATAGTAGGTGTATATATTTTTGGGATACATGAGATGTTTTGGTGTAATGTGAAATAGGCACATCATGAAAAATGGGGTATGCATCCCCTCAAGCATTTATCCATTGAGTTGCAAACAATCCAATTACACTCTTTAAGTTATTTTAAAATGTACAGCTACTGAAACTCTGAAAACTTTTCTACTTTCTGTCTCTATGAATTTGACTACTCTGAGTACTTCATATAAGTGAAATCTTATAGTATTTGTCTTTTTGTGACTGGCTATTTTACTTAGCGTAATGATCTCAAGGTTAATCCATGTTGTAGCCTGTGTCAGAATTTTCTTCCTTTTTAAAGCTGAATAATATTTCATTGTATGTATATATGTGGGATGTATATATATACAGTGTATTGCAATGTGTATACATATATACACACATATACATGGCATTTTGAATATAAGCCATTTTAACTGGAGTGAGATGATATTGTATTTTTGATTTGCATTTCTCTGATGATAAATGATGTTGAGCACCTTTTCATATGCCTGTTTGTCACTTTATAGGTCTTCTTTTTGAGAAATGTCTGTTCAAATATTTTGCCCATCTTTTGATCAGATTATTAGATTTTTTTAATACAGTTGTTCGAGCTCCTTATATATTCTGGTTATTAATCTCTTGTCAGATGAGTATTTTGCAAATATTTTCTCCCATTCTGTGGGTTGTTCTTCATTGTGTTGATTGTTTTCTTTGCAGTGCATTAGCTTTTTAACTCGATGTGATATCATTTGTCCATTTATGTTTTGGTTGCTTGTGTTTGTGGGGTATTGCTCCAGAAAATTTTGCCTAGACCAATGTCCTGGAGATTTTTCTCAATGTTTTCTTGTAGTAGTTTCATAGTGTGAGGTACTAGATTTGTCTTTAATCCATTTTGATTTGATTTTTTTTATATGGGGGAAAATAGAGGTCAAGTTTCATTCTTCTGCATTTGGATATCCAGTTTTTCCAGCACCATTTGTTGAAGAGACTGTCTTTTCCCCAGTGTATGTTCTTAGCACCTTTGTCAAAAATGAGTTCACTGTAGGTGTGTGGATTTGTTTCTGAGTTCTATATTCTGTTCCATTGGACTATGTGTCTATTTTTATGTCAATATCATGCTGTTTTGGGTTACTATAGCTCTGTAGTATGATTTGAAGTCGGGCAATGTGATTTCTCCAGTTATATTCTTTTTACTTAGGATAGCTTTTGCTACACTGGGTCTTTTTTGGTTCCATCTACATTTTAGGATTTTTTTTTCTATTTCTATGAAGAATGTCATTGGTATTTTGATAAGGATTACATTGAATCTGTAGATTGCTTTGTGTAATGTGGACATTTTTAACAATATTGATTCTTTCAATCCATTAACATGGAATATCTTTTCCTGTTTTGTTGTCCTCTTCAATTTCTTTCATCAGTATTTTATAGTTTTCCTTATATAAATATTTCACTTCTTTGGTTAATTCTTAGGTATTTAATTTAATGTGTGTCTGTTGTAAATGGGATTACTTTTTAAATTTCTTATTTACATTGTTTTCTGTTGGCATATAGAAATGCTCCTGATTTATGTATGTTGATTTTGTATCCTACAACTTTACTGAATATCTTTATGAGTTCTGACATTTTTCTTGTGGAGTCTTTAGGTTTTTCCAAATACAAGATTATATCATCTGCAAACAAAGATAATGTGACTTCTTCCTTTACAATTTGGATGCCTTAATATCTATGTCTTTTTTTTATTATACTTTAAGATTTAGGGTACATGTGCACAATGTGCAGGTTAGTTACATATGTATACATGTGCCATGCTGGTGTGCTGCACCCGTTAACTCGTCATTTAGCATTAGATATATCTCCTAATGCTATCCCTCCCCTCTCCCCCCACCCCACAACAGTCCCCAGAGTGTGATGTTCCCCTTCCTGTGTCCATGTGTTCTCATTGTTCAATTCCCACCTATGAGTGAGAATATACGGCGTTTGGTTTTTTGTCCTTGCGATAGTTTACTGAGAATGATGATTTCCAATTTCATCCATGTCCCTACAAAGGGCATGAACTCATCCTTTTTTATGGCTGCATAGTATTCCATGGTGTATATGTGCCACATTTTCTTAATCCAGTCTATCATTGTTGGACATTTGGGTTGGTTCCAAGTCTTTGCTATTGTGAATAGTGCCGCAATAAACATATGTGTGCATGTGTCTTTATAGCAGCATGATTTATAGTCCTTTGGGTATATACCCAGTAATGGGATTGCTGGGTCAAATGGTATTTGTAGTTCTAGATCCCTGAGGAATCACCACACTGACTTCCACAATGGTTGAACTTGTTTACAGTCCCACCTATCTATATCTATGTCTTGTTCGATTGCTTTAGCTAGGACTTTCAGTACTATGTTGAATAACAGTGGTGTCAGTGGGCATCCTTGTCATGTTCCAGATCTTAGAGGAAAGGCTTTCAGTTTTTCCCCATTCAGTATGATACTAGCTGTGGCTCTGTCATTTATGGCTTTTATTATGTTGAGGTATGTTCCTTCTATTCCCAGTTTTTGAGGGGTTTTATCATGACGAGATGTTGAATTTTATCAAATTTGTTTTCAGCATCAATTGAAATTATTGTCTTTATTCTTCATTCTGTTGATATGATGTATCATACTGATTAATTTGTGTATGTTGAACCATCTCTTGCATCCCAGAGATAAGTCCCACTTGGTCATGAAGAATAAATCTTTCTAATGTATTGTTGAAGTTGGTTTGCTAGTATTTTGTTGAGGGATTTTCATCAATATTCATCAGAGATATTGGCCTGTGGTTTTCTTTTTTTGATGTGTCTGTGTCTTGTTTTGTTATCAGAGTAACACTGGCCTCATACAGTGAGTTTGGAGGTATTCCCTCATCCTCTATTTTTTGGAATAGCTTGAGTAGGATTGGTATTAGCTCTTTAAATGTTTGGTAGAATTCAACAATGAATTCTTCAGGTCCCAGGCTTTTTATTACTGGGAGACATTTTATTATGGCTTTGATCTCATTACTTGTTATTAGTTTGTTCAGGTTTTGGATTTCTTCCTAGTTCACTCTTGGTAGGTTGTATGTATCTAGGAATTTGTCAGTTTCTTCTGAATCTTCCAATTTATTGGTGTGTAGTTGCTCATAGTAGGCACTTATGATTCTTTGAATTTCTGTGATATTAGTTTTAATCTCTCCCATTTCATTTATGATTTTATTTATTTGGGTCTTTTTTCTTTTTTAGTTAGCCTGGCTAAAGGTTTGTCAATTTTGTTTAACTTTTCAGAAAACCAACTTTTAGTTTTATTGATCTTTTGTATTATTTTAAAATTTCAACTTGATTGATTTCTGGTCTGATATTTATTATTTATTTTCTTCTACTAGTTTGGGTTTCATTTGGTCTTGCTTTTCTAGCTCTTTAAGATGCATCCTTAGATTGTTTATTTGAAAATTTTCTTCTTTTTTTTGATGTAGGCACTTATAGCTGTAAACTTCCCTCTTAGTACTGCTTTTGCTGTATCCCATAGGTTTTGGTGTGTTGCGTTTTCATTATCATTTGTTTCAAGAAAATTTTTAATTTCTTTCTTAATTTCTTTATTAATCCACTGGTCATTCAGGAGCATATTATTTAATTTCCATGCATTTTTCAATGTATAGTTTCCAAAATTCCTCTTTTTATTAATTTCTAGTTTTATTCCATTGTGGTCAGAGGAGATGCTTGATATTATTTTAATTTTTGGAATGTTTTAAGGCTTTTTTGTTACCTATCATATGGTCTATCCTTGAGAATTATCCATGTGCTGTGGGGTATTGCCATCTTAACAATATTAAATCTTATATCCAAAAACATAGGCTGTCTTTTCATTTATTTTAGTCTCTTTAATTTCTTTCAGCAATATTTCATAGTTTTCAGCATACAAATCTTGTGCCTTCTTAAGTTTATTCCTAAACGTTATATTCTTTTTCATAAGTTGAATTGTTAATTTCCCTTTCAGAATGTTTATAAATATTGTATAGAAATGCAACTGATTTTTTGCATGTTGAAATTGTATATAGAGACTTCGGTAAATTTATTTATTAGCTCTAATAGTTTTCTTTGGAACATTTAGGGAATTCTACATATAAGATCACGTCATCTGTGAATTTTATTTCTTTCTTTCCAATTTGGATACTTTTTATTTCTTCTTAATTACTCTGGTTAGAACTTCTGGTATATATTGAATAGAAGTGGTGAAGTTAGCATTTCTTGTCTTCTTCCTGATGTTGGAGGAAAAGCTTTCTGCCTTTTCCAGTATAATCATTTTAGCTGTTAGCTTATCATATATGGCCTTTATTATGTTGAGGCCATTCTTTCTATACTTAATTTGATGAGAGTCTTTATCATGAAAGTATGGTGAATTATGTCAAATGCTTTTTCTGAATTTATTTGAGATGATGATATGTGAGTTTTGTCCTTAATTCCTATATTATGATATATTACGACGATTGCTTTTTGTAAGTTGAACCACCCTTCCGTACCTGGGATAAATTTCACTTTGTCTTGGAATATAATCTTTTTAATATCCTGCTTAATTCAATTTGCTAATATTTTGTTGAAGATTTTTTATTTATATTCATAGAAGATATGGGCTGTAGTTTTCTCTTTTTGTGTGGTGTCTTTCTCTGGCTTCAATTTTAGGTAAATGCTGTCTCATAGAATGAGTTGGGAAGTGTCCCTACTTTTGCAGATATTTGGAAGAGTTTGAAATGGATTTATGTAATTTTTCCTTAAGTGTTTGGTAGCATTCACTAGTGAAGCCATATGGTCCTGAGCTTTTCTTTGTTAGGAGGTTTTTGATTACTACCTTCAATCGCTTTGTTTGTAATTGGTCTATTCAGACTTTATATTTCTTCTTGATTAAGTCTTAGCAGGTTGTATATTTCTAGGAATTTTTCCATTTTTCCAATTTGCTGGTATATAACTGTCCATAATAGTCCCTTAATATTCTTTTTTTTTCCTGAGGCATCCATTGTAATATCTCCTCTTTCATTTGTATTTTATTTGAGTCTTCTCTCTTTTTTTCTTAGTCTAGCTAAGGATTTGTTGATCTTATTTTTTACAAAAACCAGTTCTTAGTATTGATTATTTTGTATTTGATTTATTTTTGCTCTGATCCTTGTTATATGCTTTATTCTGCTAACTTTGGGTTTAGTCAATTTTTCTTTTTCTAGTTTCTTGAGGTATATGGTTGGGTTATTTATTTGAAATTTTTCTTATTTCTTAATATAGATGTTTATTGTTATAAGCTTTTTTTCTTATTACTGCTTTTGCTGCAGACCATAAGTTTTGTTATGCTGTGTTTTAGTTTACATTCATCTCAAGATATTTTTAAAATTTTTATTTCTTCTTTGACTCTGATAGTTATCGTGCATTAGATAAGATAACTGCTGCACCTAGTCTTGTCAGACTGGCTTTGTGTAAGAGATGAATCTCACCAATCAGCCTGGTCAGAGATTCTAGGTCCCTCTCAAATCCTCTTGCTTGTCCAAACCACAGTCTGTGTTCATAATGGCCCCAAGTAGATAAGGATGTGCCAAGTCCTGTTATTGCCTTCAGATAGGTGAAGTAGAAACCACCTCCTCAAGATGCAGCTGAAAAGGTTGGGGGTGTTAGATGAGTATTCCAGTTCATTCTATCCTCAGGGAGAAACTAAAAGCTGGAGTTTATCTAACACTCTCTTAATAAACTACCTTTTTGTTCTTTGTTATCTAGGGAGTCTCATAAATTCAGAGCCTTGTCAATTCTCAGAGCTAGGTGATTTAGGAGCCAGACTCTGAGGTGGGAGCTGCAAAAGTTGGGGTGTTTGGCTCTGTGTCCCCACCCAAATCTCACCTTTAATTGTAGTTCCCATAATCCCCACATGTCATGGGAGGGACCCAGTGGGGGGTAATTTAAACATGGGGGTGGTTACCCTCATGCTGTTCTCATGATAGTAAGTTCTTATGAGATGTGATGGTTCTATAAGGGGCTTTTCGCCCTTTGCTTGGCATCTCTCCTTCCTGCTGCCATGTGAAGAAGGACATATTTGCTTCTCCTTCCACCATGATCATAAGTTTCCTGAGGCCTCCCCAGCCATACAGAACTACGAGTCAATTAAACCTCTTTCCTTTATAAATTACCCAGTCTTGGGCAGTTCTTTTATAGCAGTGTGAGAAAGGACTAATATAGGGTGTTTGATGCATGCATAAACTGCTTCTAGAAAGAATCTGTACACATGGATTTATGTCTGCCACTGTCTGAGAGATGAGGCCTGGGAAGTACCTATACTTCCATTCAAGCTCATGGAAGTCTATAGTTTATTTGCCCCATCTGCTCCCAGATATAGGCTAGCCAGAAGCCTGACTCTCTGGCAAAAGATGTAAAAGTGTGCAGACAAACCACTTCCAGGGAGATATAGGGAGCTGGACATTTTAGCCCATTCCCTGTGGACTTATCTCAGGCACTACAGCTACTGGACATTCCTTTGTACTCATTCAAAACCACCTCTTTGTTGTGTGCGGCCTAGGGAAACCTGAGAATGCTGAGTACCTTTCATTTTCAGGGCTATGTGATTTGAGAGCAAAAGCCTCTGGGGAAACCATAAAAGTTGGGGCACTATATATGTGGTCCAAACTCTTTACTCCTCAGTGAGAAGCGGGGTATTGGAGATTCCTTCCTGATTATATGGTATTGTCACTGGTGGAGGGTGTCCAGGTTCTTGGCATCTTGAACAAAGAATTGGACAAAATGCACAAACAAAACAAGGAAGGAATGAAGGGATTTATTGAAAATGAAAGTACACTCCACAGTGTGGGAGTGGGCTTGAGCATAGGGGCTCAAAGGCCATGTTACAGAATTTTTGGGAGTTTAAATACACCCTAGAGGATTCCATTGGTTACTTCAAGTCTGCCCTATGTAAATGGAGAGGATGAAGTAAAGTAACAAAGTCATTTACTTGGCCAACGCTCTGTGGAGAGGATATTTTCTGTTATAGCTGAAGTGTTAATTGGCCTTATGTTCCCTGCCTCCACACCCTATTTTCCTGCCTCATCTCCCCCACAAGAGATGTGATCCCCATAAATCTTTATGGGAGACAGAAGAACCAAAGGTCTTTCTTCTGTAACTGCTTCATTCTGGCTTGGGGTGTAGTTCCTACCTATTGGGGATTATGAAACTCACCCTGCTCTATCTAGTGGAGGCAGGGTAGCTTCTTGATGGCCAGGGGTGGTGTCTTCACCTAGAACTGGGTGGAACCTTTTTTGCATGATCATCTGAAGCTTGATGGTCCCTAGGCGACAGGAAATGAATTTGGTTAAAAGATTTAATGGGAACTTCAGGGGATAGATAGCTATACTGTCAGAAATGTTTGCTACAGAGATTTGCAAGAGAAAAAACAAAACCTGATCTGTTCCAGAATCTATGTGTTTCCTTAAAGTCTTAGCACAAACGACTCCATTTTGGTTTGGTTTGGTTTGGTCTACTGGGGCCTAGTGCATGAGCTCAGTCCAAAACAATGGCCTCCCAGAATTTTGTTTCAAAAATTCCCCCTTTTTGGTCAGGTTCTCACTTAGGCAAGAGTGTGACCAAAACTTAGGACCTTACTTAGCACCACTCTTAGTTACCATCATTTTGGGTTTCTGGTCTCAGCGCATCATTCATAGGTTACAGTGTCCTCATGGTTGCACATTTCTTTCAGCTCCTGTTATTCCAGTTGAAGAGAGACCATATGGCATTCTGGAGATGGCTGGATGCAAGCATTTAAAACCTTCGAGAGAATACAGTGCACCAAGGAGACTATTATTATGATTATTGGGAGGATGATACCAAGAGTTTGGAGTATACTCTCTACCCAAGGTCCCCATAAACCAAACCTCCTAAAACTAAATAGATCAAAGAATGAGCTAGATAAAGAGTTTACTCACTTGAGTAAGCAACTTCTTCATCAGTCCCCTACCACTGATTTTCTGTAATCTTCATTTGATGTATTTCCCCATAGGCTACAAGTGCTAGCAGCTGCACAGGTACTTTTCTGTTTAGCTAATTCTATTATTTAGCATAAGTTTCACAAGAGAATCTAAAGTTTGTTGTGTAACTGTAGCCTTTACAGTAGAATTTGCTATAGAACCTATCATGAGGGATACATTTCTAATCATTGCTTCTTTTACTTTAAACCATGGAGAAAGGACCTAACAAATGATGCACTTTTAAAATAGTGAAGGCCTTTTGGCAATGTTCTCTTTAACCCATGATGTTGGTTAAGAGGAGTAAACCAATGTTTTGTTTTTGACTGATTATGAAGCAACATATGCAGCATTAAAGTTTCTTACCTACATTGTGCCTTCATCTTTTATTTATCAAAGTATAAGGTTATCCATGTATAAGGCTGGCTTTAAACTTCTGCACAACAAATAAAAGAATACCCCATAAGTGCACATAACAGACCCCCTTTCCACTTCTATTTTTCATAGAGGCATAAGCAAGAAAAAATATTCAAAGATAAGAGTTTCATGTAATAGAAGTCTTAATCTGTGAACTTGGGAAAAGCTGTTCACATCAAGGATGCCATTCTCTTCTTGGGAGAAATTTCTCTGGTTAGTTTTAGCTTGAGGGTTCCAATGGGTGCATATTTCCAAGAGTGTGGAGGGACCCTTCTCAGTTGTGAGATTATGAACCCAAAGCCCAAGGTCCTGAGGTTTTGTTGTAGTGTAGATGGCAAGGACAGTTTTGCTCTGATGTTATCAGAAGATCCAAACCATAAAAAGCATTCTTACCTGGTAAAAATACACTGTAGCATAATAATCTAGTGTTATAACATCAGCCCTCTTGCATGGGAAAGCTTTTATACAACCAGAAAACATGCATTGAAAATAGCAAATGGGCCGGGCGCGGTGGCTCACGACCTGTAATCCCAGCACTTTGGTAGGCCGAGAATGGTGGATCACCTGAGGTCAGGAGTTTGAGACCAGCATGGCCAACATGGTGAAACCTCATCTCTACTAAAAAATACAAAAATGAGCTGGGCGTGGTGGTGGGCACCTATAATCCTAGCTACTTGGGAGGCTGAGGCAGGAGAATTGCTTGAACCCGGGAGACAGAGGTTGCAGTAAGCTGAGATCGTGCCACTGCACTCCATACTGGGCAACAGAGAGAGACTGCACCTCAAAAAAAAAAAAAAAAAAGGCCGGGCGCGGTGGCTCACGCCTGTAATCCCAGCACTTTGGGAGGCCGAGGTGGGCGGATCACGAGGTCAGCAGATCGAGACCATCCTGGGTAACACGGTGAAACCCCGTCTCTACTAAAAATACAAAAAATTAGCCAGGCGTGGTGGCGGGTGCCTGTAGTCCCAGCTACTCGGGAGGCTGAGGCAGGAGAATGGCGGGAACCCGGGAGGCGGAGCTTGCAGTGGGCCGAGATAGCGCCACTGCACTCCAGCCTGGGCCACAGAGCGAGACTCCAGTTTCAAAAAAAAATAAATAAATAAAAATAAAAAAAAAAGAAAAAAAATCGAATGAAATCCCTTTATAAAAGGTTTAAATGGCCCATCAGGTGACCAAATGTACATGAAGCTTTAATTGTCTTCCCAGGAATATGGGGCCAAGCATTGGTTATTAACTATTTTAAACAATTTCAGTATCAGCAGGTTTAACATGAAAACATGACAAAGCATTTTCTTGATATTTAATTAATTTTGGTTCTACATGGGTTAGTAGCTTTATACAAGGAAATTTGGTTATTTCTGTGGTTTACAATAACTTAACATAATAACCATAATTACAATTGATAGCATATAGTATTTTACAAATCCCATACAATTTTGGAACATATATTAGTATTATTCACAAAAATATAACCTAAAGAAGATTGAACATCATTTTGGCAATCCCATGTACCTAAACATGTCAAATAATCCTGTTTACCTCCTTTCTGGATGCTTCCAAGGGCCCTTTGATCCATCCAGAAAGCCAGGCATTAGGAAAGACAATTTTGAAACTGAAGTGTGATTTTGGAATTCTATATTACCATAAATTATTTATTTTGCCAAAATGATGTTTCAGAAATTTTAAAGAAGCAAAAACCTTTTACCAAAGAAAACCCCACATTGTACTGCTTTTCCACACCTTGCATGTAAAACTGTTTCTAGTAGTCTTAATTGCATGTTACAATGGTGACTCTTAGCAATTTTAACTTTAATGTAAAACCTGGTAAGTTATGTTCTGATAAGGTTTGACTATTTTCAGCATAGCTGGGGGCGTGGCGAACTCCACATATCCCCAGGCCTTACCTAGCTGGAAAGCAGGCAAGTTAAACAATTTTCAAAAGCCAAAGAAGCAGTTTATGACCTTAAAGCATTTAGCAAACCTAATATTTGAACATAATTTACACCACATGTTCACATTTTGAAGACAATTATATTTTACCAATAATCTTTAAAACCATCTTTATTTCCCAAAGATTGCTAAAGTCATGTGAACTAAAGGGCATTACACTTTCTACTTTTCTGACAAAATATTTGATTTAAGTTATTCTTATCATTAAACTAATTAATTTAGAACTTCACGGAGGAGATTAACCAGTTTGCAGAGAGAAAGAGGCCAGAGACTGACTGGTAAGAAATTCTTACCCTTTTGGTGGCAGGCCAGGTTTCTGGTTTCTCTCTCCCTGAGTGGCCCTGGGGACCCTGCTTGACTGTTTGCAAACAAACACAGTGCCATGAATTAAGAATATTCATATATTTTTGACAAATTTTGGAGAACCTAGGCAGAGAGAGAAATATGACCCAAATTCTATTTGTGAGAGTACACTCAACACACTTAAAGCATCAGGAAGCCTAAAATCCAAAAAGTTAGTTTAAGAATAAAAAGCTGGTGTGCTCCAGTAATTCCTGCAGCCCGACAGAGGTAGCTTAGGAATTCCAGAAAAATGGAACAAATGGTGAGTTGCTAGAAATGCATAGGAAACAAAGTAACTATTCACAGAACCGAATAAAAGGTTTCTGCTAGCATGGTTCTATATATATGGATACACAAGTAAAACCAGAAGAGAATAAACAGCAAACAAGTTAAAACTCGAAGCAAAAACAAATAAACAGGAAACCAACCTTAAATTTTCCTAATCAATTTACCCTGGAGGCTACAAGTGTTGCCTAGGGCTCCAAAAACCCACATAATGAATATTTTATTCCTGATACACAATTCAATATCCTTAAGTTCATCAATATTATACCTCCTGTGCAATTAAGAAATTCACTTTAGGCACATCACCAATAAGTACTCTAGCACTATCCACACAAAACAGTAAACGTAGTGTGAAGCAGTGCAAGCATGTATGTGAAATTTGGCTCCACACTAAATCCAGCTTCATGCTTAACTATATTAAAAAAAAAGAATTGCCAAACTGCCAATGCATTTCTTTACAGTGCTTCTTATTTTACTGAAGACTATGAGCTTTAGCTATGAAAACGTTAGCCAAATGTTTCCAATTCTTTATCAGCTTTTAAAGAATATATTATTATTTAAACTTTTTCCACAGCTTTCCCCCTACTTAATGGTTCCTTACTACACTGTTTCATAAATAACCTTTTCAAATCTGTAATTTGAACTACCTTTTAGATAACTTCTGAATTAGACAAAAATTATTATTTTTCACTAATAACATAACTCTTTTTGGCACATTTTGTATACCGAATTACGTGTTAACTAGAATTTTATCCTTAGTAACCTAAAACTTTAGTGAAGCCCTAAAAAGCAAGAAATCCTGAACTATCAGATATGGGCATTTATAGATAAGAACAGTTCCACAATTTTAGAAACATTGCCCCATATTACAACCCCTTCTTAATTGGAAATGAGTCAGACATTAAATGAGCATCAAAATTAAGTTTAATATTTTAATTTACACAAAAAGTTCACTTAAAACATTTATCTCATTCACTGTACATAATTTTTACTTTTAACACAGGAGACCTGATACATCAATCAACATACTTAAAATGAACATTGGTTTGGTCTGGAAAGGCAGGACAACTCAAAGTAGGGAGGGCGTTTGGAGGTTGTCAGATCATAGGTGGGAGACAAAGGGTTACATTCTTTTGAGTTTCTGATGAGCCTTTCCAAAGGAAGCAATCAGATATGCATTTATCTCAGTGAGACTTTGAATAAAATGGGAGGCAGGCTCGCCCCAAGCAGCTCCCAGCTCGAATTAACACTGACATTTAACAATATCTAACAAAGACAAACATAAAATTCAGACAAAATGTAGGCTGAAAATTCTGAAGGCATTTCTATTTTTATTCCACCAAATAATTTTAAATCTAGCTTGTTTAGTAAAGTTATACTTTAAGTCACGTGAACTTGAAAATTGCTTAGACTTATTTACTTAATTTATGAGGCCCTTTTACTTGTAAGCCAATTTTGGTAGACACAACCTATAATAATAAGTATACATACAAATAAACACATCTAGACCTGTATACACACAAGTAAATGAAGATCCAATAGCTTGGAACCTTAGCCATGAGATAGCAATATAAGCTTGCCAGTTTTAATTTGCCCCAGTAGATAATCCAATGAAGGCTATGAACCAAAATTTGGGGCAAAGTAGTCTCCACAGCAGTTTGATTTTTAAAGGCCAAACCTCCCCAGACTCCAAAGGGCCGTGGGGCCAAACTGTACCAGAGGAGGGTGTCACATATTAACCAGGCTTAGGACCGAAGCACAAAAGCCTGGTTACATTCAATGCTATTCTACTTTCCCATTCAACAGTAAACTCGAGATTCCAAGCAATGTTGTGGCCAAACAGCATTACAATTGTGAGAGAAAATTCTAAGGAGGGCTTTTATTACTAGACCTCAGAACCTCTGCCAAGAGCGTCCTCTTTGCAGTGGTTGGGGTCTGCAGAACCTATGAAGCATCCTCCTGTGGAGTCCAATCTTAGAGTTCCAGACGTTTCTAGCCTTAGGTGGGTGCCACATGCAGGTTTTCCCCTCCAGAGCATACCATGAGCTTTATAGGAATAGCCATGAACTGTAATAAGATCTAGATGCTGGGTGGGCCTTTTTGTTCCTTAGCCAGTTGAGTATGATAAGGGAAGAATTCAGCATAAGAGAAGAAGGTTTACATCCCCTGAAACATGTGCGAGTGTGCTCCAAGCTTCACTGCTGGTAGGGATCAGGAACCACTTGCGGAAAAGATAAAAAAATAAAATTCCTTCCCCCTTCGGGGCAGAGCAATTATTCCCATTCATTCCTAGGCCTTCAGGCAGTACTGATGAGTGATCTCAGCCAATTGCTCTCAATTTCCAAGGAGCTACTAGGAAACAGCCACTGAAAGACTGAAAAGGAAAGAGAGGAAAAGAAAATGAAAAAA
>NW_021160030.1:0-14678 GCF_000001405.40 Homo sapiens
TGCTGCTATAAACATGCATGTGCAAGTATCTTTCTTGAATAATGACTTATTTTCCTCTGGGTAGATTCCCAGTAGTGGGATTCCTGGATCAAATGGTAGTTCTACTTTTAGTTCTGTAAGGAATCTCCACAGTGTTTTCCATAGTGGCTGTACTAGTTTACATTCCCACCAGCAGTGTAGAAGTGTTCCCTGTTCACCACATCCACGCCAATATCAACTGTTTTTTGACTTTTTGATTATGGCCATTCTTGCAGGAGTAAGGTGGATTATGTAGAAAAAGGTAAACATGTCCCAAATAGAGCAATAAAAATAACTAAAAGAATGGATAATGGGTTTCATGAGAAATGCTTAAAGAACCGTATGGCTTTCTTCACTATGAAAAATTAATATACAATGTAACCTACACATCTTCATATTACCAGTAACTAAAAAAGAGAATGTTGTTTCAAGTGCAATAAAAAAATGAAACACTTTAAAACATCAGAAAAGTACATCTGCTTTTTGAGTGCAGAAATCCTAGAGAAAAGAACCAGTTGAAGTGTCTGTTTCTGAAACACTTGAAGCAAAACACGAACAGACTCCCCTTTAACCTGGCCAAAGAGACATAGCTGGAGAAGATGCTCTCTTTATGGCCTTTTCTATGTTATTATCCGGTGATTCCATTACTTAACATTTTACAAATCATCAAAAGTCCATAGTACTTTATGATCACTCCATTTTTGCCTACCAGTAGAGTCAGGGGTGTGCAGAATTAAAAGATCTTGCCTGTTCCATGAAGTTAATCTTAACACAGTATAATGACATAAGACATGTTGATCTTTTTTTTAATTTAACAGGTCTAATAATGAAATGTCCTCAAGCAGCATTAGTGAAACTATTTTTCTCCTAAATGACATGTAGTTACGGAAGATCCTATTTAGATACACTCATTTATATAAACCTTTTTTGTCTTATGCCTCATAACTTCAATTCATCAGAGATGAATGGCATAATGGCGTAGTGAATAAAGATTTCCTTCAAGCCATAGGTCACAATGTGTGAAATAAATAAAAACATGTTATTACCCACAAATATCTTCTTCAATAACACTATTTTAATAGTATTTTCCCCTAGTCAACTCATCAGATTGCATTATTAGTTTGCAGCTGAATGTATTTCTCTCCTTATTCAGTTGAGATAATTTATTTGCTTTTCAAAGTTCAGAGCTTACTCTTCAAATTAGGCTGCTCATCTGCTCTAAGATTCCTCTTCTCTATAAAGCCTGCAAAACTAATATTTTTACAACCCTAGGAGTCAACTCTTATGTGAGGGCTAAATATATCCTCTATAAAATAATGAAATAATATATCACTGCAAACCCTAAAGGAAAGCAAATACATGGTATGTTGAGGCTTCAAGCATGGCTGGGACTGCTTGGGAAGAGGATAAGTGAGAAGTTAAAGAGACCTAGAAATATGCTTTGAAGAAATTCAGTATTGATGCTTTATGAAAATAATGCTGCATAAAATAAGGAGTTGGCTCTAACACTGAATAAGAGGAATAAGAGCATTATTTGTGAAAAATATTTATCCCGGAAAACAAGATAACATTTAGTCACAATCTAGCACCTTATTATTATTATTATTGTTTTTTTTGAGACAGAGTCTCATGCTGTCACCAGGCTGGAGTGCAGTGGCACAATCGTGGCTCACTGCAACCTCTGTCTCCCGGGCTCAAGCTATTCTCCTGCCTCAGCCTCCTGAGTACCTAGGATTACAGGTGCAAGCCACCACGCCCAGCTAATTTTTGTATTTTTAGTACGGTAGCGTTTCACCATGTTAGCCAGGCTGATCCCGAACTCCTGACCTTAGGTAATCCACCCCACTCAGCCTCCCAAAGTGTTGGGATTACAGGCGTGAGCCACTGTGCCCAGCAAATCTAGCACCTTATTAATATTAATCATAAACTAAATCCATGAATACACAGAGTATTTCTAAGACATTCTAAGCTTTCTGTGTGCCTTACAAAATTAGAACCTCTAAGCTTTTTCACTGTCCTGAATTTTATGTTAATTACTCCCTCACTTTTCTTCTGTATTTTTCCCAAATATGTATGCAATGTTGAAATATCTGTTTAGTTTTGTTGTGTTACTTCTACAGAAATGAAATGATAATGAACCTATTACTATGTGACTTAATTTTCTTCAATATCATTTTTTCAGATACATTAATGTTAATGCATGAAGATGTAGTTCATTGTTTACTATTGATATCTATTATTCCATCATACAAATATAATACATACTTATCCATTCTAAGATTAGCAGACATCTAGCTTGTTTCTAGTTGGAGGCGCCTATGAACAAGTTGTCTGAGTATTCTCTACATATATCTGAGATTATTTGTGTTAAGAGTTTCTGCAGGGGCACATATGTGTGTGTGTGTGTGTGTGTGTGTGTGTGTGTGTGTGTATTAAATTGATAGCAAAAGGGTTTGCTTATATTCATCTTTAACAGATAATATGAAAGAGTTTTTTCAATGTTGTTGTAACAATTTATATTCTCCCCAGCCATTTGAGTTTTAGGATGCCCCATATCTATTTTCTTTCAGTTACTGGGACACTGAAGTTCGTTATATATTCTGGAGACATTTCTTTTGTCAGTTTTGTGTCACACATACTTTCTCAAATTCGTGGTTTATCTTTCCATTCCTTTTAATGTGTCTCTTGATGAATATAAATCCGTAAGTGTAACTAAATTTACCAAAATATTGAGCTGCTTAAATAATATTTAAGAGATTTTCTCGCTAACCTACAGCAAGTGTCAGCAAACTATAGCCCACTGTCAAATTCTGGAATGTTGTAAGTTTATGGTCTACTAAGATTGTCTTTTTAAATACATATTATATATATATATATATATATATACATATTTATTTATTTATTTGTAAATTTATTTATTGTACTTATGGGTAAATTATATATAAACATATATAGTATTTATATTTATATATAATATAAAATTATTTATATATAAATATAAATAATAATCTATGTATTTATATACATAAATATAAATAATAATATATAATATATAATATATAAATAATAATATATAATATATATTATATATAAATATGAATAATATATAATATATATTATATATAAATATGAATAATATATAATATATTATTTATATATAAATATAAATAATATGTCATATTATTTATATATAAATATAAATAATATGTCATATATATTTATATATAAATATAAATATGTCATATATATTTATATATAAATATAAATATGTCATATATATTTATATATAAATATAAATATGTCATATATATTTATATATAAATATAAATATGTCATATATATTTATATATAAATATAAATATGTCATATATATTTATATATAAATATAAATATGTCATATATATTTATATATAAATATAAATATGTCATATATATATACAAATATAAATATGTCATATATATAAATATAAATATGTCATATATATATAAATATAAATATGTCATATATATATATAAATATAAATATGTCATATATATATATAAATATAAATATGTCATATATATATAAATATAAATATGTCATATATATATAAATATAAATATGTCATATATATATATAAATATAAATATGTCATATATATTTATATATAAATATAAATATGTCATATATATTTATATATAAATATAAATATGTCATATATATTTATATATAAATATAAATATGTCATATATATTTATATATAAATATAAATATGTCATATATATTTATATATAAATATAAATATGTCATATATATTTATATATAAATATAAATATGTCATATATATTTATATATAAATATACATAGTCATATATATTTATATATAAATATAAATAGTCATATATATATATAAATATAAATATGTCATATATATTTATATATAAATATAAATATGTCATATATATTTATATATAAATATAAATGTCATATATATTTATATATAAATATAAATGTCATATATATTTATATATAAATATAAAAATGTCATATATATTTATATATAAATATAAATATGTCATATATATTTATATATAAATATAAATATATATAATATATTATTTATATATAAATATAAATATATATAATATATTATTTATATATAAATATATATAATACATACTATATATTTATATATAAATATAAATAATATATAATATATATTTATATATAAATATAATATATATTATATTTATATATAAATATAAATAATATATAATATATATTAACATATAAATGTAAATATATAATTTATATTTATATATAAATATAAATAATATATAATATATATTTATATATAAATATAAATTATATATTTATCTTTACATATGAATAATATACAATATATATTTATATTTACATATAAATATATATAATATATATTTATATGTAAATATAAATATATATAATATATATTTATATGTAAATATAAATAATATATAATATATATTTATATATAAATATAAATAATATATAATATATATTTATATATAAATATAAATAATATATAATATATAAATATAAATAATATATTATATATACAAATATAAATATATGGTATATGTTTATATATAAATATAAATATATATAATGTATATCTATATATATAAATATGAAAAATAATATATAATATATATTTATATATAAATATAAATAATAATATATAATATATAATTATATATAAACATGAATATATATAATTTATATTTCTATATATAAATATTTATAAATATATATTTATAAACATAAATATATAAATATATAATTATTTAATATAAATAAATATTAAATATTTAATATAAATAAATAATAAATATTTAATATAAATATTTAATATAAAAAATAAATATTAAATATTTAATATAAATATATAAAAATATATTTCTATCTATAAATATAAATATATAAACTTATATTTGTATATATAAATATAAATATATAAAAATATATTTGTATATATAAATATAAGTATACAAAAATATATTGGTATATAAAAAAATAAATATACAAAAATATATTTCTATATAAATATAAATATACAAAAATATATTTATATATAAATATCAATATACAAAAATTTATTTATATATAAATATCAATATACAAAAATTTATTTATATTTAAATATACATAAATATATTTATATTTAAATATACATAAATATATTTATATTTAAATATACATAAATATATTTATATATATAAATATACATAAATATATTTGTATATATAAACATACATAAATATATTTATATAAATATATTTATATATTTATATATATAAATATATAAAAATATATTTATATATAAATACAGATAAATATATTTATACATATAAATATAAATATATATAAATATATTTATATATATATAAATATATTTATATATATATAAATATATTTATATATATAAATACATTTATATATATATAAATGTATATAAATATATTTACTTATATGTATAAATATATTTATATAAAAATATAAATATATAAATATATTTATATAAATGTATAAATATATTTATATAAATATATAAATGTATAAATATATTTACATAAATTTATAAATGTATAAATATATTTACATAAATATATAAATATATAAATATATTTACATAAATATATAAACGTATAAATATATTTACATAAAAATATAAACGTATAAATATATTTACATAAAAATATAAACGTATAAATATATTTATACAAAAATATAAACGTATGAATATATTTATATAAAAATATAAACATATAAATATATTTATATAAAAATATAAACATATAAATATATTTTATAAAAATATAAACATATAAACATATAAATATATTTATATAAAAATATAAAAATATTTATGTAGATATATAAACATATTCATATAGATATATATATATTATAAATATATTGATATATATTATAATATTACACATTATAGTATATTTTTATATTATATTATATAATATATTTATATATATTATATTATATCTTTTATTTATATATTATATTATATATTATAATATATTTATTTCTATTATATATTATAATATATTTATTTCTAGTATATATTATAATATATTTATATATATTATATTATATATTATAATACATTTTTATATATTATATATTATAATATATTTTTATATATTATATTATATATTATAATATATTTTTATATGTTATATTCTATATAAATATGGCTATAATATATAAATATAAATCTATTATTATAAATATTATATATTTATATACACACATATAAATATATTATAAATATATATATTCATATACATAAATATAAATATATTATAAATATATATATTTATATACATAAATATAAATATATTATAATTATTATTATATATTTATATACAAATATATTTAAATGTAAATATATTTAAATATATATAAATATATTTCTAAACTATAAATATATAAAATATAAATATATGTATAAACTATAAATATATATAAATATATGTATATACTATAAATATATATAAATATAAGTATAAACTAAAAATATATAAATGTATAAGTATATTTATAAACTATAAATATATAAATGTATAAGTATATCTATAAACTATAAATATATAAATATATAAGTATATCTATAAACTATAAATATATAAATATATAAGTTTATCTATAAACTATAAATAAATATGTAAGTATATTTATAAACTATAAATATATAAATATATGTATGTTTATAAAGTATAAATACATATAAATATGTTTATAAACTATAAAGACATAAACATGTTTATGAACTATAAATACATATAAATATGTTTATAAAATATAAATATATAAATACATATAAATATATAAATATGTTTATAAAAGATAAATATATGAATATATATTTATAAAAGATAAATACATATATATTTATAAAAGATAAACATATATATATTTATAAAAGATAAACATATATATTTATAAAAGGTAAACATATATATTTATAAAAGGTAAACATATATATTTATAAAAGATAAACATATATATTTATGAAAGATAAACATATATATTTATGAAAGATAAATATATATATTTATGAAAGGTAAATATATATTTATAAAAGGCAAATATATATATATTTATAAAAGGCAAATATATATATATTTATAAAAGGCAAATATATATATTTATAAAAGGTAAATATATATATATTCATAAAAGGTAAATATATATATATTCATAAAAGGTAAATATATATATATTTATAAAAGATCAATATATATATTTATAAAAGATCAATATATATATTTATAAAAGATCAATATATATATTTATAAAAGATAAATATATATATTTATAAAAGATAAAAATATATATATTTATAAAAGATAAAAATATATATATTTATAAAACATAAAAATATATATATTTATAAAACATAAAAATATATATATTTATAAAAGATAAAAATATATATTTACAACAGATAAAAATATATGTTTACAACAGATAAAAATATATGTTTATAACAGATAGAAATATATGTTTATAACAGATAGAAATATATGTTTATAAAAGATAGAAATATATGTTTATAACAGATAGAAATATATGTTTATAAAAGATAAATATATATGTTTATAAAAGATAAATATATATATATTTATAAAAGATAAATATATATATATTTATAAAAGATAAATATATATATATTTATAAAAGATAAATATATTTATTTATAAAAGATAAATATATTTACTTATAAAAGATAAATATATTTATTTATAAAAGATACATATATAAATACATATATTCAGAAAAGATACATATATAAATACATATATTCAGAAAAGATGCATATATAAATAGATATATTCAGGAAAGGTACATATATAAATAGATATATTCAGGAAAGGTACATATATAAATAGATATATTTCAGGAAAGATAAATATATAAATAGATATATTCAGGAAAGATAAATATATAAATAGATATGTTCAGGAAAGATAAATATATAAATAGATATGTTCAGGAAAGTTAAATATATAAATAGATATGTTCAGGAAAGATAAATATATAAATAGATATGTTCAGGAAAGATAAATATATAAATAGATATATTCATGAAAGATAAATATATAAATAGATATATTCAGGAAAGATAAACATATAAATAGATATATTCAGGAAAGATAAACATATGAATATATATTTAGAAAAGATAAACATGAATATATATTTAGAAAAGATAAACAAATGAATATATATTTATAGAAGATAAATATATGAATATGTACATTTATAGAAGATAAATATATGAATATGTACATATATAGAAGATAAATATATGAATATGTACATATATAGAAGATAAATATATGAATATGTACATATATCTGTAGAAGATAAATATATGAATATGTACATATATTTGTAGAAGATAAATATATGAATATATACATATATTTATTGAAGGTAAATATATAAATATATACATATATTTATAGAAGATAAATATGTATATATATTTATAAAAGATAAATATGTATACATATATTTATAAAGGATAAATATATATACATATATTTATAAAAGATAAATATGTATACATGTATTTATAAAAGATAAATATGTATACATGTATTTATAAAAGATAAATATGTATACATGTATTTATAAAAGATAAATATGTATACATGTATTTATAAAAGATAAACATGTATACATATATTTATAAAAGATAAACATGTATACATATATTTATAAAAGATAAACATGTATACATATATTTATAAAAGATAAACATGTATACCTATATTTATAAAAGATAAACATGTATACATATATTTATAAAATATAAATATATATAAATTTACAAATAAATGCAAATATACAACATATATTGTATATAAATACAAGCCTAAAATCTTCACTTTCAGGTCCTTCTCAGAAAATGTTTGCCGACCCCTGCCTTAGCGCCATAAGCACAGTCTTCCGTACCAACACTGTCCTATAACTTTCTCTGGTGATAAAATGTTCTACAGTCTATGCTATCCAATAAGTTAGCCAATGGTCATATGTGTCTATTGGATACTTAATGTATTGAAAAAGTGTAATTTTAGTTTAATTAATTCAAATTTTAATTGCTACATGTAGTTAGTGGTTATTGTATTAAACAGCGCAGTCCTATGTTTTTCCAGAAGATTTAATGTTTTTGCCTTTCCAAATTAAATCTCTAATCCAGCAGGATAGATTTTTTTATGTGATATCACAGGTGAAATTTCATTTTCTCATTAATTTTCCCAGTCATTTTCTTATCATTGTACAAATACAGTAATATACATGTAGCACACTAGGGTAGATGTGTGTGATAGCTGGAGGCTAGAGTCCGGTGGCAGCTTCAGAAAATCATTATCACCTGAGTTTTTTTAAAAAATTATCACTTACATAGTACTTACCATGCACTAATTTTACTTCTAAGCACTCTACAAAAATTACAGATGCTTTTCAACTTATGATAGGGCCATGTCCTGATAAACTCATTATATATAAAAAATATCATGAGAAGAAAATGTATTTAATTCTGACAGTGCAGAAGATGGTCCCCAAATTACCATGGTTCAAATTACAATTTTTGACTGTGATTACATGAAAGTGATATGCGTTCAATAGAAAACATAGCCCCATTGTAAGTTATAGTCCTCCTTGACTTATGATGGGGTTGCCTGCAGATGAGCCCATCACAAATTAAAACATCGTAAGTATTCAGTTTATCATTGATGGGCATTTAGGTTGATTCCATGACTTTGCTATTGTGAATAGTGCTGCAATGAACATATGCATGTATATATCTTTATAATAGAATGATTTATATTCCTTTGGGTATATACCCAGTAATGGGATTGCTGG
The DNA here is from genome assembly GCF_000001405.40 of Homo sapiens. Classification (NCBI taxonomy): domain Eukaryota; kingdom Metazoa; phylum Chordata; class Mammalia; order Primates; family Hominidae; genus Homo; species Homo sapiens. The sequence continues at coordinate 9,929 of NW_021160030.1, forward strand.
GTCAAATGGTATTTCTGCCTCTAGGTCTTTGAGGAATTGCCACAATATCTTCCACAATGGTTGAACTAATGTATACTCCCACCAGCAGTATAAAAGCGCTCCTTTGTCTCTGCAACCTCGCCAGCATCTGTTGTTTTTTGACTTTTTAATAATAGCCCTCCTGATTGGCATGAGATGGTATCTCATTGTGGTTTTGATTTGCATTTCTCTAATCATCAGTGATGTTGAGCTTTTTTTCATGTGTTTTTTGGCCACATGTGTGTCTTCTTAGAGAAAGTGTGGTACACATACACCACAAAATACTATGCAGCCATAAAAAGGAATGCGATCATTTCCTTTGCAGGGACATGGATGAAACTGGAAGCCATTATATTCAGCAAACTAATGCAGGAACAGAAAAACAAACACCACGTGTTCTCTCTTATAAATGGAAGCTGAGTGATGAAAACACATGGACACATGGGAGGGGGAGAAACACACACTGTGGGGGGCCTGTTGGTTGGGGTAGAAGGGGTGGGGGAGGGAGAGCATCAGGAAGAATTAGCTAATGGAGGACGGGTTTAATACCTAGGTGATGGGATGATCCGTGCAGAAAAATACCATGGCACATGTTTACCTATGTAACAAGCCTGCAGATGTACCCATGAACTTAAAGTTGAAGAAAAAAAAGGATTTAAATAGAAGCAAAAAAGATTTTAATAAGTAAAATGATCATAAGATGAACGACCGTAAGTCAGCAATTGGATGTAAATTAATTCTCACAGTAACACTATTATTAGCCATACTTTTCACACGGGGAAACTAAGACACAATGAGAATATCTAAGAACCTATAGATAGTAAGTTCCAGAAGCAGGATTTGGACCCAGGCAGTTTGGCACCAAAGTTCATTCTCTTAAATCACTACCCTACACTGGCTTAGCAAATAATGACTTCCCTTCCAAAATATATTCATTTAATTTATTTACATTTTTCTTTATTGTCTAATTGCACGGGTTTAGTCCTCTAGTAACTATATTAATGAGACTCCTTCTTGTCTTATGCCAGATTTTAAATGGAATGTTATTATAGTATGACATTTGTTTTATTTTCGTCAATATACTTTATCAAGTAAAGGACTTCAATTTTCTGTTTGCTAACATTTTCATCATGAACTATGAAATTCATGAAGTTGAAATTGAAATTTTTAAGCAAAAGCTTTTTCTGCGTCTGTTGAAATTATCATATGATGCTTCAACTTTAATCTCTTAATTGATGAATTACAGTAATCATTTTTCTAATATGAATGCAGTCTTGCCTTCTTGGAATAAACATAATCTTACCATAATGCTGCATGCACATAAATATTAATATATATGATATATATGTGAATATAGGTGGGGAAGAAAGAACTGAGAAAGGGAGGGGCACAGAGGGAATATGAGTTGGAGTTGTTTGCAGTTTTTTAAAGATTTTAGCATTCATGTTTATGACAAATACCAGCATAAAACTATCTCTTGTTATAATGTCCTTGTCTGGTTTTGTTATCAACATTATATGAGCCTAAATAAATCAGTTGAAGGGTACTATATTTTATTCTCTGAAAGTGTGTATGATTAAAAGTATTTGTTCATTGTTTGAGGGATTTTTATTCAATTTTATTTATTTATTTATTACCTTTTATTTTAGGTGCAGGGGTACATGTGAAAGTTTGTTACATAGCGAACTTGTGTCACGGGGGTTTGTTTTACAGATTATTTCATTACCCAGATATTTAGGCCAGTACCCAATAGTGATCTTTTCTGCTCCTCTCCCTCCTCCCACCCTCCACCTAAAGTACACCCCAGTGTTTGTTGTTCTCTTCTTTGTGTTCATAAGTTCTCATCATTTAGCTCCTGTGTATAAGTGAGAACATGCAGTATTGGATTTCTGTTCCTGTATTTGTTTGCTAAGGATAACAGCCTCTAGCTCCATCCCTGTTCCCACAAAAGACATGATCTCATTGTGTTTTATGGCTGCCTAGTATTCCATGGTGTATATGTGGCACATTTTGTTTATCCAATATGTCATTGATGGGCATTTAGGTTGATTCCATATCTTTGCTATTGTGAATAGTGCTGCAATGAACATTTTTGTGCATGTGTCTTTATGGTAGAATGATTTATGTTCCTCTAGGTATATACCCAGTAATGGGATTGCCGGGTTGAATAGTAGTTCTCTTTTTAGCCTTTTGAAGAATTGTCACACTGATTTCCACAATAGTTCAACTAATTTACACTCCCACCAACAGTGTATAAGTGTTCCTTATTATCCATAAACCTCATCAGTATCTGTTATTTTTGACTTTTGAATAGTAGCCATTATGACTTGTGTGAGATGGTATCTCAGGGTGGTTTTGATTTGCATTTCTCTAATGATGAGTGACATTGAACTATTTTTCGTATGCTTTTTGGCCACATGTAAGTCTTCTTTTGAAACATGTCTGTTCATGCCCTTTGCCTACTTTTTTATTGACCTTTGAGTGCATTTATTGCATATAAATTAACCTCAAAAATGTTTTTAAGAAACTCTAAACGGCCACACAGAATCAAAAATTGTAATACTTCAGGTTCTGTTTCTTATCTTTACAAGTATGGTGCAATCATCATTTATTTGAAATCTATCATTTAAATGAAAGAATATGTAGTACTACAGTGGGTGGAGACACTTGAGCTGATACTGTGTATGCTGGGAGACACCCATATAGCAGGGAGTTCTCTGAATTACTTTCCATGTGGAATAAAATTATTTGTTTTTCTCTCTTAAATTTGCTTAAGTTCCTTATAGATATTAGATATTTGATATTAGACCTTTTCGGATGCATGGTTTGCAAAACTTTTCTCCCATTTCTAAGGTGTCTGTTTACTATGTTGATAGTTTATATTGCTGTAAGAAGTATTTAATTAGATCCTATTTGTCAATTTTTGCTTTTGCTGCCATTGCTTTTGGTGTCTTTATCATGAAATCTTTACCCATTCCTATGTCCAGTATGTTATTGCCTAGGTTATCTTCCAGGGTTTTTATAGTTTTGGATTTTACACTGAAGTCTTTAATTTGAGTTGATTTTTGTATATAATGTAAGGAAGGGGTCCAACTTCAGTTTTCTGCATAAGATTAGCCAGTTATCCCAACGCCATTTATTGAATAGGGAGTCTTTTTCCCATCGTTTTTGTCAGCTTTGTAGATGATCAGATGGTCATAGGTGTGCAGCATTATTTCTGGGCTCTTGATTCTGTTCCATTGGTCTATGTGCCTGTTTTCGTACCAGTAACATGCTGTTTTGGTTACCGTAGCCCTGTGGTGTAGTTCAAAGTCAGGTAACGTGATGCCTCCAGCTTTGTTCTTTTTGCTTAGGATTGCCTGGGCTATTTGGGGTCTTTTTTGGTCCCATATGAATTTTACAGTAATTTTTTCCAGTTCTGTGAAAAATGTCCTTGGTAGTTTCACAAAAATAACATTGAATCTGTAGATTGCTTTGGGAGGTATGGCCATTTTAGTGATATGATTCTCTCTATCCATGAGCATGCGATGTTTTTCCACTTGTTTGTTCCATCTCTGATTACTTTGAGCAGTGTTTTGTAAATCTTATTGTAGAGATCTTTTACCTCCCTGGTTGGCTCATTCAGCTGATAACAACTTCAGCAGTTTCAGGATACAAAATCAATGTACAACCATCACTAGCATTCCTATGCAACAACAGCCAAGCCAAGGCCCAAATCAGGAAGGCAATCCCATTCACAACTGACACAAACAGAATAAAATACCTAGGAATACAGCTAACCAGAGATGTGATTAATTTTTGAAAACAAATTATCCTAAAGTTTTGTTTGCATAAAAATTATAATGAATTCACTCTTACTTTTAAGAGATACTTTCTAAATACATGATTATTGGCGATTTCCTGGCTCCCATCATTGCAGTTGTCATCTTAACTCTAATTGTTAGTCTTTTTAGATGGCCTATATGATTTATCTGGCTGATTTTAATATTAATTCTTAGTTTTAGTGTTTTTCAAGATTATCTATATTGTGCTTAGATTTGGACTTTATCTTATTCATCCTGTTTTGGATTTGTTGGGGATTCCTAGTTTGGAGATTTATTTCTTTCCTCAATTGTGTAAAATATTTAGCTATTAACTCATTGAAAATTTCTTATCCTCCTTTTTTTTCTATTCCATCCCTCTAGTGTTTTGATCAGATGCCTTTTAATCTTTTTCAGTCTGTCATGCATTATTTTAGACGTTTATTCATACTTTCCATCTCTTAGTTTCTGTGTGCTAAATTCTGAGTAATTTCAGATACACTAGAAAGTTTGCCAATTCTTTTCAGCTATGTTCAACATGCTGTTTAATCAACATGAAGCTTTATTTTAAACTTGACACCAAGTTTTAATTAAGTGACATTTTTAACTTCTAGAAAGATCTATTTTATGCTCTGTCAAATTTTCCTAGTTAAATATGATGGTTTCTTATTTCTTACTCATGCTTAAATACCTTCTTTTATTTCTCTAGACATGTTAAATATACTAACTCATTTTATAATATTTTTCTGATAATTCCAGTGTTCAAAGTCTTTGCTATTTGGTTGAATTTGACAATCGCGATGTTTCTGTTGCCATTGTCTCACAGATTTTAGTTTGTTTGTTTGTCTGTATTTTGTATGACTTTGATTACTAACTAAACATTAAGTATGTAAATATATCTATGAAACAATGACTTAAGAATCAAATTAAAG
>NW_018654725.1:0-48370 GCF_000001405.40 Homo sapiens
TCCCAGCTAATTTTGTATTTTAAGTAGAGACAGGGTTTCACCATGCTTTCCAGGCTGATCTGAAACTCCACAACTCAGGTGATCCACCCACCTTGGCCTCCAGAAGTGCTGGGATTACAGGCATGAGCCAAAAAGTCCAGCCCATAAGTGCACTTTTATTAGTTCATAACTAATAGTGTCATTCTTTCATCCCGGAATTCATTTTGGCCATTTATCATCTATAACTATTGTTTAAGTGTTAATTATCTACCATGAGAAACCACTTCCCTTTTGAGACTCTCCCACTTCCCTTAGTCAGAGACTCTCCCACTCTTCTCGGTCAGATGCCACAGCCCCCTGGTTCTGCTGGTTTTAACACACTGTAACCAGGTCAGTTCATAAAATACGCTGAGGACTTCTGGCTCTTTTCTTCTATTTCCCAGCAGTAATAGTCATGTAGCAGTTTTAGTCTGTTAAACTAAAAGCATGTCACATGATGTTTTTCCTAAATTTGTTAACTCAGTTATTATGGTTCATTTACTCTATTTATTTATTTGTTTATTTATTTATTTATTGCTAATTTCTGAACCAGAAGCTACAGAAAAACATAACAGCATGACTGAGGACTTGGAAGATGGGAGCAGAATACAAAGTCCCTTGAGGAGAGCTATGACAGAAAGCTCAGGAGCAAACTTCTAAAGTAATTGTTTGGCACTTTTAAAGAAGTAACATGTATAAACTAACTTGGTAGAAGTATAACAAAACCTGAGGAAATAGTCTGTGATTAATATCTTATGCAAACTTTAGTGTTTGAAAAAATATATATGTTTATCAATAGCCAATACTTTCCTGCATTTGAGTTAAGGTAGTTTTTAAAAGATAAGCTATAGAGAAGCACACCCTCTTTTCTTATTACTCTTGGAATCTCTAACATTTGTTGAGGGCTGTAATTTTCTTTAACTTTCAGGGCACCTTGTAACTTGCTCAGGTTGCATAGTTGATAAGTAGCAAAAGTTGAAATATAATCACTTTTAGTCACCTTTTCCTCTATCCCACTCATACTGCCACAAAGATGGGGATATCTAACAATATATAAATTATACATAGTGGTCATAGTATTTGTCAGTGTCCATGTGCCTTGTATTCCTTTATGATTCTGCAAAGCCAGAATCAAAAGAAAAGAGCTAAAATTAACTGTGAGGAAAATGTGATATGGGGAAAGGAAAAAATAGACAACTTTTGCTACTTTGGCTTTTCTTTACTCTGAATTTTTGTATCAGTGAGTAATATCTCAGTGCTAAGACGCTAGTTCATGTGGTAATTTTCAGTGGGTGTGAAAGCCTCTGACACATAAAAAGTGCTCAGTTAATATTTGTCATGAATGTGTCATGAGGAAAGGACTCAACTCACGTGCTCTGGGCATTTATTTACGTGGTCTATTTTTATTGCCTTCCTCATAATTTACCATCAATATTCCATTACATAATACTTGCAAACATTTATTGAGGTTATTCTTCAAACTAATTCTGTTTTTTATTGGACAGTTTTTTTTAATCAATTCTGAAATGATGTATTTTACCCACATTCTCTGTGTCAGTTTCTATACTAAAATAGCAAACATGGAACGTTCTTTACTGAAATTTTAGGAATAAATGAATTAAAGTATGTGTGTTAATTTTATACTCTTGTGCAGCTAGTGAACTATTTGGTATCATAGTTACAGCTTCTATGGTCTGCATGGGGTCTGTCTGGCTTTGGCGATTCTCATACGACTTTGGCAAGTGTTGGAGTTTGGAAACTGTTCACCACAGGAGTGTTTCTTTGTCCTTGTGGAACCAGAAGGGAAGCTTGTTACAGCTGGGAAAGAAAAGTGAAAATTTGAAAATGTGCATATGGGTATTGCTAATTCAGATATAATGCTCTTGGCACGTGTTTCCCAGGACGGTGCTTAGTCCCTGGGCACAAAAGTTGTTTCATTGGTTTGGGGTGGGCAGATACGACAAGTGGATTGGAAGTGACTGTCTAATTATCATTTGGGATTGAGTCTGTTATGTGATCTGTAAATTTAATTTTCTTCTGTGCTCTTTGGGTCAGCTGAGACCAACTGAAAAGTGATGCTTTCAGTAACCTCATAGCAACACGACCCTCCATTTTGTGTGAGTAAGCTTTATAGCATCAAGGCAAAGTTTTACCGGACGTTTTATTTTCGGAAGTTAGATCCCTGGATTTAGTACTCAGGGACTTTGAAGTTTACAGTATGTCGTGTTCAATGCCCTCAGGTGCACCTCTGCCATAGATTATCTACATTGATAATGGTCTTTCCAGAAAGATAACTGAGGAACTCATATTTAGTCGTTCTGATTCACATGTATCAACTTGAACTAAAGGAGGACCACATCATTAGAACTAATGGACAGATCGAAGATGAAAGGAAGAATAAAGGTGATGTTTGGGTGGGGAAAGAAGCTGTATTTTTCAGTTCTGATAAAGTTTATTAGCTTCCCAAGTTGGGTCTGCTCCTGTCCCATATTCTAAAAAATATAGCTTATACTTCATTGTCCCCATAAAATTACACATTTTTTGTAATTCTAATTATATAAAATTAAAAACATTATCGTCTTCACTGCCTTTTGAGAAACCCTCATGTTTAGTATTATATGCATTCAGAAAGGCCTGTGATTTATCCTGGATATTTTACTCAACTTGATTTCAAGATATTTTGATAAATGTGTAATTGTCCAGAAGTTGGCAGTAACTTATTGCCTCTGGTATATATTAATCCTAACCATGAGATACTTTGTTTTTCACTTACAGAAAATTTTAACTTCTCTATCCCATGTGGAGTAATTTCTTATTTCATTGACCTCTAATATATTTTTCTTTGTAATATTTTACTTGATATATAACCTCCTGAATTCTTGTATATATTGGACTGAGACTGAAAGATGAGTAATTTTTCAATCTTCTGACATTTTACATGTCAATGTATCTCTAGGAAATTGCCTATAATAGGAAGTGAAGTTTTGATAGAAATTTCAAATAGATTCTTAGGAGTGAACCAAGGATGGGTATTTGATGTTGACCAGACACCCAATGTGTGGCTTCTCCTTTTACTACTATCTTGTGGAGACTAACTCTTCTTTTATGGGTTAGTACCATCATCTATGTAATAAACTGTACTTTGATGATATATCTACAGAGATTCATGACAGATGAAATGAAAATGACAAAATAATAACTTTAATACAGTAACAATATTGACTGTTACAATATAATAACAGACAGGTCTTTATCTTCAAGGAAGTTAAGAACTATGGGTATTAGGGCCTTATGCTCTGAGTAGATGGCGTAACTCTGCTTAAAGTGTGTAGCAGGTGAAATGTCATGACATACATGACATCTACAGCATCACAAACACTGTTGGGTAACAGGGTTTAGTTCTCACTTGCCCATGAATGTTTTATCCCTATATATGCTATCTCATATTATAAAATAATGATCATTAGGTCTGACATACTGGCCATGAATATTAAATAGCTTTTATATTCACTGGGAAAACATGGTGTTTAATGGGCTCACTCTTTCAGGAAAAGCTGTTTCTTTGCAAGTGGAGCTCCTAGCTATTAATGTAAAGAAGGAGGAACTCAATCAATCTGTAAATTGTATGAAAGAATTTAAGGTAATTGTTAAGCATATTGTTTTTTGAAATAGATTTTAACCAGTATATGAAATTTTGGTCATACAAAATTTATCCCAAGTCACCTCTTGAGGTGTTTGGACTGCCATTAATATGACTAAGAGGGTGATGTCTGAAGTTAATTCAATAATTCTGAATTTCAATCAATATCACATAGGAAAGCATAGATAGTGCTTTGAGTCCTAGGGTCCTGCTTGAATCCTGTATGTGTGTCTAATTGCTTGTGTGCCTTTGGGTAGGTTCTATGACTGCAGGGTCCTGAAATGTAAACGCTAGGATATTTTTCACATTATAGGGTTGTTGAAGGAATTCAGTGAGGTAACTTAAATGCCTACTTCACAGCAGGTGGCCAATACTATTATTGGTCTGGTCTACATCAGCCTGTTCTCTTCCTTCCAAAAGTAGCAGGTAAAAGTTCCTGTTGATACATTGTTATCTTACAGATTAAAACAAAATGAGGTGCATTTTTACATGCCATTTCTTCTTTACTTTTCATTCCTGAGCTTGCTGTCTGAAGGATGCATCTGGAACTTTAGGTATTTACAACATATTTTGTATATAAAATTAATTTTGCCAATTTAACTTATGTGAGAACTTTGTGGGATTTTGTACTCAAATATGAGACATAGTATACCCAAAAAAATAAAGCACTACACAACATGTTATAGATTTTTTTTTTTGGCAGAGTCTTACTGTGTCACCCTGGCTGGAGTGCACAGGCATGATCTCAGACCTCGGTTCACTGCAACCTCCACCTTCCAGGTTCAATGAATTCTTGTGTCTCAGCCTCCCGAGTAGCTGGGATTATAGTCATGTTCACCCACACCCGGCAGTTTGTGTATTGCTTTTTTTATTATTTTTTTCAAGATACAGTCCCTTCTGTCACCCAGGCTGGCATATAATGCCGTGATCTGAGCTCACTGCAACCTTTGCCTCCTAGGTTCAAGCAATTTTCCTGCTTCAACCACCTAAGTGCCTGGGTTACAGTCGCCTGCTACCACACCTGGCTAATTTTTGTATTGTTTTTACAGACTTGGTTTCACCATGTTGGCCAGGCTGGTCTCAAATTTCTGACCTCAATGGATCCACACATCTTGGCCTCCCAACATTCTTGGATTACAGGCATGGGCCACAGTGCCCTGCTGTATTTTTAGTAGAGATGGGGTTTTTCCATGTTGCCCAAGCTGGTCTGGAACAGCTGAGCTCAAGCAATACTCTCATCTTGGCCTCCCAAAGTGTTGGAATCACAGGCATGAGCCACCATGCCTGGCCATTTTTACCTTATATTTTCATATTTAAAATATGTATATATTTATATGATGTGTGATTGTTTTGGGGTTTTGGTTGTCTCTTGAAAATGTGATGATAATCTTAGAAGAACTTGCTTTATTGGATGTGGTCTATAAAACTTCCTCTGCCCCAACTCTAGGGCAGAAGATAATTTTTGTTGTGTAGTTAGGGACTTATTGCAGAGAATCAGACCTCTGTTTAGTCACCTTAGTTAAATTGTGACACAATGCTTAAAGGAGCCTGCCAGTTTGTACTTTTGCAGTGCTGTAAAGTCATTATTCAATTATAATTTTTTTTTTTGAGACAGAATCTGCACTCTGTTGCCAGGCTGTAGTGCAATGGCATGATCCTGGCTCACTGCAACTGCAGCGTCCAGAGTAGCTGGGAATACAGGCATGCACCACCATGCCCAATTAATTTTTGTATTTTTAGTAGAGATGGGGTTTCACCATCTTGAACAGGCTGGTCTCAAACTCCTGACCTCGTAATCCACCCAACTTGGCCTCCAAAAGTGCTGGGATTATAGCCATGAGCCACCACACCTGGACATATATATATGTGTGTGTGTGTGTGTGTGTGTGTGTGTGTGTGTGTATATAGTATATATATGTATATGTATATATGACTCTGAAATACAAATTTATATTTATAAACAATAATTTATAAATAAAAATATATTCATATAAGTATAATTTAAATTTATATGTATATATATTAAGTTAATTTTCAGTTAGGGTCTCTCAAAGCCCACTATTTGGCAATAACAAAACAAAAACGTATGCTTAATGAAAAGGTTAAAGAGATGCGTGATTATTCACTACTAAAAGAAGAGAAACTGGGAGTTTCTGACACAAAATAAATTACTTAAATGACAAGTGGAAGAGAATAGAAATGAAAACTTGTGTCTCCTAAATCATATATCTATTATCCACCTCCTGGGTTCAAGGAATTCTCCTGCCTCAGCCTTCCTAGTAGCTGTGGTGCATGCCTACAGGCATGCACCACCACATTCAGCTAATTTTTGTATTTTTTAGTAGAGACAGGATTTCACGATGTTGGCCAGGCTGGTCTCAAACTTTTAACCAAAAGTGATCCACCCACCTTGGGCTCCCAGAGTGCTGGGATTACAGGCATAAGCCACCGCACATGGCCTGCATGCTTTAGTAATTTATGTTATGTCAGCATTATAAAACTACGCTTTGTACCTGTAAGGGGAGGCTTAAATTGGGAAGATTTATAAAATTAAGATTACTGGATTAAACTCTGCTAACCTGCCTCTAGGTGGTATCCAGGCTTTCCTGGGCCTCTGTCTGCTGATTGGGTTTGGCCACTGGACACACCAACCTCCACATATAGTGGCCTTAGACTGGCTGCTGCATCTCAAGGCCAAGTGAGGTCATAGTGTCTGTGATGGCCTCTTCCAATTGTTCTTCACCACCTCCCTCTCTCCAGTGCTGAGAATTTCTCCCTTCTCTGATCTTCCATTCCCAAAGAGTGCTAACACTGTGGCCCTGTTACTCTCCCAGGGAACACTGCCATTATTTGTGGATACCCTGAATAAGTCACCCTTTATTAAAAATTTCTTAGATGACCTTGACTGTGGGAGCCTTCTGCCTTCTGCCTGGATCCCAACTGCTGCTGACAGATGCACAGATCATATTGGATCTTGGGGCTGTCATCAACAAGTAGACTAGGTAGAGAGCCACTTCTGTGCATGGTAGAGAACAGAAACAGTATTTCAAATTAATTTGAGGACTTAAAAGAGTTATTTTTTTTCTGTACCATTATGCATTCCACCACCAGTGAATGAATTCCTGTCTTTCCTTCAGCAAAGCATTTGTCATGTTTTAAAAACAATTTCACAGTTCTAGCAAATATAGACAGGCCATATCTCATTGTTTTAACTGTCACTCCCTTAAGGATATACAAGATTGAGCATCTTTTTGTTTGCTTGCCATCTGTGTATCTTCATTGATGAGGTATCTGCTCAGCTCTTTACCCATTTTTAATTGGATAGTCTCTCTTACTGTTGAGTTTCAATATTTCTTTGCATATTTTCAGAGCAAAGTCTTGCTTAGATCTGTAATTTGCAGATATTTCTCCTCAGACTGTGGCTTATCTTTGTTTCCTGACAAGATTTTATGCAGAGTATAAACTTTTAATATGAGAAGGCCTACATTGTTAATTAATTTTTCTGTTATGGATAAGCTTTGGTGTCATATATTAAAACTCATGACCAAACCCAAGGTCACATAGGTCTCTTTCTGTGGTTTCTTCTATAATTTGAATAGTTTTACACTTTAAGTCTCAGAACTATGTTGAGAAAAATTTTGTGTAAGTTGTAAAATGTGCCATCTCTGTTCATTTCATTGCCTGTGGTTTCCGGTTAATGGTCTCTTCATCATTTTCAGCAAAAAACAAACAACAACAAAAAAAACCCAGGATAATAGCAGCATTTCAGATGGAATTTCCAAAATGATGGTGCTGAACAATCTGAAGTCTGCTTTTATTTGGTGCCTTAGGCCAGTCAGGAGAGAATGCATAGCTGCCCCACCATGACCACCTGGGTCCTGCAGTTCTGCCGGCAGCCAGACGGGGCACATGAGACTACCTTTTCTGACCCTGGGAGGGCCCACGTGTTCAATGCATGCCACCTGAGGACAAGAGCTACCTTCTCCTCAGCACAGACCCCAGCCATACTGCCTCACTCCAGGACAGTAGGAGGCAGAAATAAGTGAAAACCTTCCTCTAACTGCTGAGGATCAGGGGCCCACTAGAAGGCCTTTGTGTGGAAAATTAGAAACAAAAAAATCCTACAGCTCTAGTGCACCCCAAGGTCTTTCCCCACACCCAAGGTGTGATGGCCACAATGCCAGGTGTGCGCCAAGGCCTCGTGGCCTTGTGACACAACTATAGCATTTATCACACAATTATAACATCTACAATAGAGAGATACAACATCCATAAACAAATACATTACCTACAATACAGATGTGACACTTGTAATACTAATGTAACACCTGTAATACTGATCTAACACCTGTAATACAACTGTAACACTCATAACAACAATAAAACACTCAGAAAACCAATATCACATCTGCAATACAAATATAATAACCATAATACTGATCTAACACCCTTAATAGAACTCTATCTCTCATAATACCAGTGTCGATTCACAATAAAAATAAAACATCCATAACACTGATGTAACATCCATAATGCTGTCTTGAAACCTGTAATAGAATTGCAACACTCATAATACCAACATACCACTCATAATACCAATATACCATCCACTATACAAATATAACAACTTTCATACTGATGTAACAACTGTAATACTGATGTAACACCTGTAATACTAATATAACACTCATAATACTACTGTAACATTTGTAATACAAATAGAACAACCATAACACTGATGTAACACCCATAAGTACTGAGGTAACCCTGTCATACAGATGTAAGACCTGCAATACTGATATAACATTCCTACACTTACAAAGGCACTTGGTTTCACAGCTTCCACTGAAGCTGGATTTGGCTCCTTTAATGGAGTTTGATGTTGTTGTCTCTGCTTTAGTGACATGGTATTGACATGGTTGTTTTTATTAAAAAGGAGTTTACTTCCCAACAATTTTCTACCTCTAGGAAATGTGAAATAGCAGTTAGTATACTTTATCCTTTCTCCCAGATTCCCAACTGGTTATTGCTGTGCCATATTTGCAGCTTCATTCAAAGTATCCCACTGTGTTTTAACAAAAGTGGAAACACTCTCCCAAATTACCATCATATAACTACCAAATCAGGAAATACAGGGTTAGTATTGGTAATTGTAATGGCAAAATATTTATTTACAAGCACAAATTTAATCCTGTCACTTTCCTGATTTAATTGTCTTAATGGTTGTGAGAGGTGAAGCCACCTGGACTTCCTGGGTCGAGTGGGGACTTACAGAAGTTTTCTGTCTAGCTAAAGGATTGTACATGCACCAATCAGCACTCTGTGTGTAGGTGAAAGTTTGCAAATGCCCCAACCAGCACTCTGTAAACAGGCACCAATCAGTGCTCTGTGTCTAGCTAAAGGTTTGTAAACACAACAATCAGCACTCTGTAAAACAGACCACCAGCACTTTATAAAATGGACGAATCAGCAGAACGTGGGTGGGAACAAACAAAACAATAAAATCTGGCCACCCCAGCCAGCAACAGCCACCTGCTTGGGTCACTTTCCACTCCGTGAGAGCTTCATTCTTTTGTTCTTCATAATAAGTCTTGCTGCTGCTCACTCTTTGGGTCTGCACTAACTTTGTGAGCTGTAACACTCACCACGAGGGTCTGTGGCTTCATTCCTGAAGTCAGCAAGACAGCAAACCCACCAGGAGGAACAAAGAACTCTGGACATGCCACCTTTAAGAGCTGTAAAACTCACTGCCCAGGTCTGCGGCTTCACTTATAAAGTCAGCAAGACCAAAAACCTACCAGAAGGAAGAAACTCCAGGCACATCTGAACATCTAAAGGAACAAACTCCGGACACACCATCTTTAGAACTGTAATACTCACTGCGAGGGTCCATGGCTTCATTCTCGTAGTCAGTGAAACCAAGAACTCACCAGAAGCAACCAATTCTGGACATACTTTGTTGATCCCGATGGGACACTCACCAAGCGGTGAATACCATCGGACCCCTTTCACTTGCTATTCTGTCCTATTTTTCCTTAGAATTCAGAGACTAAATACTGGGCACCTGTTGAACTGTTAAAAGTGACTAGCATGGCCACCAGACTAAAGACGTGAGTGTCAGGCTTTCTGGGAAAAGGCTCTCTAACAAACCCAGACTCTTTGGAGTTGGGAGTGTTGGTTTGCCTGGAACCAACTTCTGCTCTTCCTGTACTTCTGGGATGAGCCAGGGGTCAACAGAAAGGAAAGCCATTCAGTTCTGGGGTCCCAACAAGTTGGTGGACCCAGTGGCCATGAGCAGAACTCTCAAAGTCATGTCGCCCAAGCGAGACTCGCCCATCTATCCTATCTATCCTGATGCTTGCCTCCTGGGTCCTAATGCTTGTCAAACTTCCTCTTGCCTTTCTTCTCCTAGGCTAGTCCTGCTTCTAAAAACCACTCCTTGTCACTGGTGTTTTCTAGTTTATCCTATAAGAATGATTTCTAGTATAAACTTCAGGGTGCTTTTACCTTCTTTAGCTACCCAGGCTCACCAATCAGAAAGACATAATTTTTGCCCAAAGCCCCATCAGGGGTTAGGGTTACTATCTGGAATTTTAGGATGCTTCCTTAGACTGGCAGGCCTAAAATAAGCAATTCCTGAAGCTAGGATATGAAGAGCTTCAGAAATGGTATCTTTCCTATTCATATGAAGACAAAAGGCATCACTCTTCCAACTCTTGAGATCCCTTCCCTTACTCAGGGTATGGCCCCCCACTTCATATTTGGGGCCTAACATCATTATAGGACAGTTGTAAGATCCCAATACTAACAGGAGAATGCTTAGGACTCTACAAGGTTTTCAAGAATGTGTCAGTAGGAGCCACTAAATCCAATTTTTCTTGGTCCCCTGCACCTTTGCCACCCTAGGAGGAGAGGCAAAGTTGCAGGTTTTTCAGAATGTGTCAGTAAGGGCCACTAAATCCAACCTTTCTCAGTCCTGTTTGTGGTCTAGGAGGAAAACTAATGTTTCTGCTGCTGCATCAGTGAGTGCAACTGTTCCAATCAGCAGGGTCCAGGGACGATTGTGGGTTTCTGGGCAAGAGGTGTTTCTGCTGCTGCATCAGTGAGTCAACTATTATGATCAGCAGGGTCCAGGGACTGTTGTGGGTTCTTGGGCAAGAGGTGTTTTTGCTGCTGCATTGGTGAGCACAACTATTCTGATCAGCAGGGTCCAGGGACCATTGTGGGTTCTTGGGCAGGGGGAGAAACAGACAAACCAAAACTGCTGGTTGTTTTGTCTTTCAGATGGGAAACTCTCAGGTATCAACAGGCTCACCCTTGGAATTCATCTTAAGCCACTGGGACCAATATGACCCACAAACCCTGAAAAGCAGGAGGCTCATTTTTTTCTGCACTATGGCCTGGCCCCAATATTCTCTCTCTGATGGGGAAAAATGGCCACCTGAGGGAAGTATAAATTACAATACTATCCTGCAGCTTGACTTTTTCTGTAAGAGGGAAGGCAAATGGAGTGAAATGCCTTATGTCCAAGCTTTCTTTTCATTGAAGGAGAATACACAACTATGCAAAGCTTGCAATTTACATCCTAGAGGAGGACCTTTCAGGTTACCTTCATACCCAGCCTCCGCTAATCTCCCTTGCCCAGAAGGAAACAAGAAAAGAAATCTCCAAAGGACCACAAAAACCCCCAGGCTATTAGTTATGTCCCCTTCAAGCTATAAGGGGAGGGGAATTTGGCCCAACCAGGGCACATGTCCCCTTCTCCCTCTCTGATTTAAAGCAGATCAAGGCAAACCTGGGGAAGTTTTCAGATGATCCTGATAGGTACATAGATGTCCTACAGGGTCTAGGGCAAACCTTCAATCTCACTTGGAGAGACATCATGCTATTGTTAGATCAAACCCCGGCCTTTAATGAAAAGATTGTGGCTTTAGCTGCAGCCTGAGAGTTTGGAGATACTTGCTGTCTTAGTCAAGTAAATAATAGAATGACAGCTGAAGAAAGGCTCAAATTCCCTACCATTCAACAAGACATTCCCTGTATGGATCCCCACTGGGAAATTGACTCAGATCATGGGGACTGGGAGTCATAAATATCTATTGACCTGTGTTCTAGAAGGACTAAGGAGAATTAGGAAGAAACCATGAGTTATTCAATGATGTCCAACTTAACTCAGGGAAAAGAAGAAAATCCTTCTGCTTTCCTTGAGCAGCTGTGGGAGGCCTTAAGAAAATATACTGCCCTGTCACCCAACTAACTCAAGGGTCAGTTGATTCTAAAAGATAAATTTATTACCCAATCAGCCACAGATATCAGGAGAAAATTCCAAAAGCAAGCCCTGGGCCCTGAACAAAATCTGGAGGCATTATTATTATTATTATTATTATTATTATTATTATTATTACATTTTGAGACAAAGTCTTTCTCTGTTGCCCAGGCTGGAGTGGAGTGCAGTGTCACCATCTTGGCTCACTGCAAGCTCTGCCATCTGGTGGCATTATAAAACCTGGCAACCTCGGTATTCTGTAATAGGGACCAAGAGGAACAGGCCCAAAAGGAAAAGCGAGATCAGAGACAGGCCACAGCCTTAGTGATGGCCTCAGGCAAACAAATCTTGGTGGTTCAGAGAGGACAGAAAATGGAGCAGGCCAATCACCTGATAGGGCTTTTTACAAGTGTGGTTTATAAGGACATTTTTAAAAAGATTGTCCAATGAGAAAAAGGCCACTCCCTCATCCATATGCACAATGCTGAGGCAATCACTAGAAGGCACACTGCCTCAGAGGGCAAAGGTTCTCTGGACCAGGAGCCCCCAACCAGATGAACCAACAACAGGACTGAGGGTGACTAGGGAAGCACCAGCTCATATCATCTCCCTCACTGAGCCCCGGGTACATTTAACCATTAAGGACTAGGAAATTGACTTCCTCCTAGACACTGGTGCAGCCTTCTCAGTGTTAATCTCCTGTCACAGATGACTGTCCTCAAGGTCCATTACCATCCAAGGAATCCTGGGACAGCCTGTAACCAGGTATTTCTCCCACCACCTCAGTTGTATTTGGGAGACTTTGCTCCTTTCACATTCCTTTCTTGTTATGCCTGAAAGTCTCACACCCTTATTAGGGAGGGATATATTAGCCAAAGCTTGAGCTATTATCTACATGAATATGGGGAACAAGTTACCCATTTGTTGTTCCCTATTTGAGGAGGGAATCAACCCTGAAGTCTGGGTATTGGGAAGACAATTCAGAAGGGAAAAATGCCTGCCCAATCCAAATCAGTCTAAAAGACCCCACCACTTTTCCTTATCAAAGGCAATAACCCCTAAGGCCTCAAGCTCATAAAGGATTACAGGATATTGTTAAACATTTAAAAGCTCAAGGCTTAGTAAGGCAATGCAGCAGTCCTTGCAATAGCCCAATTCTAGAAGTACAAAAACAGAACCATCAGTGGAGTCTAGTGCAAGATCATAGACTCATCAATGAGGCAGTAATTCCTGTATATCCAGTTGTAACAAACCCCTATAACCTGCTCTCTTAAATACCAGAGGAAGCAGAATTTTTCACTGTTCTGGACCTCAAGGATGCCTTCTTCTGTATTCCCCTACACTCTGACTCCCAGTTTCCCTTTGCCTTTGAGGATCCCACAGACCACACATTCCAACTTATGTGGATGGTCTTGCCCCAAGGGCTTAGGGATAGCCCTCACCTGTTTCACTGTGCACTGGCCCAAGATTTGGGCCAATTCTCAAGTCCAGGCAGTCTGGTCCTTCACTATGTGGATGATTTACTTTTGGCTACCAGGTTGGAAGCCTCATGCCAGTAGGCTACTCTAGATCTCTTGAACTTTCAAGCTAATCAGGGGTACAAGGTCTCTTGGTTGAAGGCCCAGGTTTGCCTGGACCAGGTCAAATATCTAGGCTTAATCTTAGCCAGAGGGACTAGGGCCCTCAGCAAGGAATGAATACAGCCTATACTGGCTTATCCTTACCCTAAGACATTAAAACAGCTGTGGGGGTTCCTTGGAAACACCAGCTTTTGCCAACAATGGATCCATGGATACAGTGAGATGGCCAGATCATTCTATACTCTAATCAAGGACACCCAGAAAGCAAATATTTATCTAGTAGAATGGGAACTAGGGCAGAAAGAGCCTTCAAACCCTTAAAGCAGGCCCTAGCACAAGCTCCAGATTTAAGCCTTCCCACAGGACAAAACTTCTCTTTGTACATCATAGAGAGAGCAGAGATAGCTCTTAGAGTCCTTAATCAGACTCGTGGGACAAACCCAAAACCAGTGGCATACCTAAGTAAGGAAATTGATGTAGTAGCAAAAGGCTGGCCTCACTGTTTACAGGTGGTTGTGGTGGTGACTGTCTTAGTGTCAGAGGCTATCAAAATAATACAAGGAAAGGATCTCACTCTCTGGACTACTCATGATGTAAATGGCAGATGAGGTGCCAAAAGAAGTTTATGGTTATCAGACAATCACCTGCTTAGATACCAGGTGCTACTCCTTGAGGGAATGTTGTTTCAAATATGCATGTTTTTGGCCCTCAACCCTGCTGTTTTTCTCCCAGAGAATGGGGAACCAATCGAGCATGACTGCCAACAGATTATAGTCCAGACTAATGCTGACCAAGATGATATCTTAGAAGTTTCCTTAGGTAATCATGACCTTAACATATTTACCAGTGGAAGTTCATTTGTGGAGAATGGGATACAAAGGGCACGTTATGCCATAATTAGTAATGTAACCATACTAGAAAGTAAGCCTCTTCCCCCAGGGACCAGCACCCCATTGGCAGAGCTAGTGGCACTTACCTGAGCCTTAGAACTTAGAAAGAGAGAAAGAATAAATATGTATACAGATAGCAAGTATGCTTATCTAATCCTACATGCCTATGCTGCAATATAGAAAGAAAGGGAGTTCCTAACCTCTGAGGGAACCCCCATTAAATACCACAAAGAAATTATGGAGTTATTGCATGCAGTGCAAAAACCCAAGGAGGTGGCAGTCTTACACTGCTGAAGCCATCAAAAAGGGGAAGGGGGGTGGAGAGCAGCAGCCCAAGTGGCTGGCAGAGTCAGGGAAAGACCAGCAGAAAGGAAAGAGAGAAAGAGATAGAAAGTGACAGAGAGAGAGAGGAAGTGACAGAGAGAAAGAGAGAGAGAGTCAGGGAGGAAGAGACAAAGAAGGACTCAGAAAAAGAGAAAGAGGGAAACAAACAAGAAGTCAAAGAGAAAGAAAGAGATGGAAGTGCTAAAGTAAAAGCAGTGTACCCTATTCCTTTAAAAGCCAGGATAAATTTCTGTCTAACCAGCCAAGGCATATTCTTCTTATGTGGATCTTCAACCTACATCTGCCTCTCAGACAGTTTTCAAGAAATAACAAAATCTATCCTTACTCTACCATCCCAAATAGACTCTGTGGCAGCAATGACTCTCCAAAACCATCAAGGCCTAGACCTCCTCACTGCTGAGAAAGGAGGACTCTGCACCTTCTTAGGGGAAGAGAGTTGTTTTTACACTAACCAGCCAGGGATAGTATGAGACAATGACCGGTGTTTACAAGAAAAGGCTTCTGAAATCATACAACAGATTTCAGACTCTTGTACCAACCTCTGGAGTTGGGCATCATGGCTTCTACCCTTTCTAGGTCCTGTGACAGCCATCTTGATATTAGTAACCTTTGCATCCTGTATTTTTAACCTCCTTGTCAAATTTATTTCCTCTAGGATCAAGGCCATCAACCTACAGAGGGTCTTACAACTAAAACCTCAAATGAGCTCAACTAACAACTTCTACCACAGATCCCTGGATCAACCCACAGGTCCTTTCACTGTCCTAAAGAGTTCCCCTGTGGGGGATATTACAAATGCAGGGCCCCTTCTTTGCACCTATCTAGCAGGAAGTAGCTAGAGCAGTCATTGCCCTATTCCCAACAACATTTGGGGTGTCCTCTTTAGAGGGGGGGGTTGAGAAGTGAAACAAGCAGGACTTCCTGGTTGGAGTGGGGACTTGGAGAACTTTTCTGTCTAGCTAAAGGATTGTAAATGCACCAATCAGCACTATGTAGAAACACACCAGTCAGCACTCTGTGTCTAGCTAAAGGTTTGTAAATGCACCAATCAGCACTCTGTAAAGTGGACCAATCAGCATGATGTGGGTGGGGACAAATAAGGGAATAAAAGCTGGCCACCCCAGCCAATAGTGGCAACCCACTCAGGTCTAGTTCCATGCTGTGGAAGCTTTGTTCTTTTACTCTTCATAATAAATCTTGGAGATGCTCACTCTTTGGTTCCACATTGCCTTTAAGAGCTGTAACACTCACTGTGAGGGTCTGTGGCTTCATTCCTGAAGACAGTGAGACCACAAACCCACTGGGAAGAATAAGCAACTCTGGACATGCCACCTTTAAGGGCTGTAACATTCAATGTGAAGGTCTGTGGCTTCACTCCTGAAGACAGTAAGACCATGAACCCACCGGAAGAAAGAAACTCCACACACATCGGAACATCTGAAGGAACAAACTCCAGACACATCATCTTTAAGAACTGTAACATGCTCTGTGAGGGTCTGTGGCTTCATTCTTGAAGTCAGTGAGACCAAGAACCTAGTGGAAAGAACCAATTCTGGACACAGCTTCCCACTGAGCTTACAACAAGGACCATAGAACTCAACATGGCTGCAGATCCCAAGTGGTCCTGCCTGTTGCCCTCTCCCATTTAGTCTGCTCAACTGTTTGCAGCCTCATCTGCTCCCACTTTGGGGGCTCTTGATTGTCTTGGGGATTTTGTGTGCATCCTCAATCCATTCACCCAGTGCCCACCCTTACCTAATTTATCTAATTTCCTAGGGATTTATCCAACTGAATCCTTAAAGTCACATCAGTTGTGATATCTAACTGTAGAAAAGTTAATAATGTAATGTTTCTAAAGATAAAGAAATGATTTGTTATTTGTTAGATCATTGATGAGATCACTCTCAATTTAGAAATCAAGAAAATAATAGTAAATAAAATAAAAGCCCATGTTTGGGATAATAGGTAAAAAAAAGGCTCAGTGCTGAAGACAAATGACAAGACTGATTATTGAAATAACATAAGAATTTATTGGAGAGACTATTACCTTCCTATATTTTCCAACTGTGTGTTACTACTTACAAGATATTTTATGTTTAAATACTTATATTTTATGTAGTCCATCAATGCAGTTAACTGATGAAAAGTCCTAGCCCACATCATGATAATCTACATAAATGGTTCTAAACATCCTTAACTGTATAACCTAAAGTAATAAAGTAAGCCTAGACATTTAAGCAGGTGAATTATTAATATTTATATATTGAAATTCTGAGAAGGAATGTAAGTATGTCACAGCTCTGGTACAGGACTTGGGACAGTTGTGTAACCATGCACCCCATGAACTTAAGGCTCTCTCTTTTACTTCCTACTGGATGGCAAATTCTTAACCGATGGAGACTGAGGGGCAAACTGTCACCTTTATTGGAAACTCTAGTTAAGCAGAAAAGTCTTCATTTCAGAACATCCTTTCCTGTCAGGTATTTTCTTTTCTCATCCACGGAAACCTGCTACCCAGCCATATTATTACTTTGACTCAACCTCAGGTGGAGCTAGACAGGACCAATTTTACAACACAGAATCCCATAACTATGAGAAAAGCTAACATATGAAACACTTCATGGTGTAAAACTTAAATATTTTACTGTTTATCTTTTTATGTAGTTGTTTTCTCTTGCATTTATTTTTGGTGAAGTAAATAAAGTGCAAATCTTCCTTTTTGTGGCATGTCTTTTCACTTTCTTGATACCGTCTTTCAATGCAAAATATGTTTTATTTTGAGGGAATTTTTTCTTTAGTTGGCTGTATCAGATCTAAGATTTTTGTATCAGATCTAAGTCCTAGGTTATGAAGAAGTATCCCTAAGTTTTATTCTAGAGTTTATGTTTTTACCTTTAATAGGTAGGCTTTTGAACCATTGACTGATGAGGAAAAGATACAATTTTTTTTCTGAATGTGGTTAGTTTGTTGTCTAACAGCATTTGTTGAATTTTATGGTCTTGACTGAATTACAAAATCAATTGACCATAGAGGTATAGTTGGACTTGACATTCAGTTTCATTGATCTCTATGTGTGTCCTTATGCCAATATTATGCTGTTTTTCTTACTGTTGCTTTTCAGTAATATTTGAAATTGAGAAATGTGAGACTCCAAGTTGGTTTTTGTTTTCAAGATTATTTTCACTATTCAGGGTCACTTGAAATTTATATGAATGTTAGGACTGGCTTGCCCTTTCTGTCAAAATAACTTTGGTATTTTCATAGAAATCACAATGAATTTCTAGATTGCTTTGTGTACTATTGTCATCTTAAAAAAATTATCTTCTAATCCAGAAACATGGAATGTCTTCACATCTATTCACAGATTCTGGAATTTATTTCAGCAATATTTTGTAATTTTCCATGTCTAAGTCTTGCTCCTTGGTTAAATTTATTCTTAAAATATTATTACTGTTGTTGTTTTTTTTGTTTTATTTTTTGAGACAGAGTCTTATTCTGTTGCCCAGGCAGGAACGTGGTAATGTGATCATAGCTCACTGCACCTTTGAACACTTTAGCTCAGGTGGTCCTTCCACATTGGCCTCCCAAGTTACTGGAATTACAGGTGTATATGACTACACCCAACCCATTTTTTTTTTTTTTTTGCTGTTTTTAAGGATGAAAAGATGCTTTGCTTTATAATCAATGAAAACATAGTACTTTTAATTGCCCAAAAGTCATAATGCACAAGAACTCTAAGTTGTATAGTTAACTTCTGGACCATCTGGGTAAAGTTCAAGTGCTTCTTCAAAATTTGTACCTGATAATCTTCCCAAATTGTCCTTAAAGTTCTTAAATTGTAGCAGTAAAAATAATGACAAGACCAGACACATTTAAACAATACTAAAATTTTTCCAAGGACATAAGAAATTTTAACTCTTATACTGTTTGTTTCTGTGTTTGTTTGTTTGTTTTTTGAGACAGGGTCTCACTCTGTTCCCCAGGCTGGATGCAATGTGCCATCATGGCTCACTGCAACCTCTTACTCTACGGTTCAATTGATCCTTCTGCTTTAGACTCAGCCACCAACCTGGCCCATTTTAATTTTTTTGTAGAGAAAAGGATGTACCCTGTTGGCTGGGCTCATCTCAAATGTCTGAGCTCAACTCATCTGACAACCTTGAACTCCCAAAGTGCTGGGATTATAGGCATTGACAAAATGTTTATTACGTCAGGGTCAGTTAAAAAAATCTATTTTTTGGCTAAGTTATAAATATACTTATAATGCAATTATTTGTGTAACTCCAGCAATGCTATGGGCAGCTACAAAATCAAAATAGTCTTTTAAAAAAACACTAAAAATATCAAAACACCTAGCCCCATTATTTAGTTGTAGAAGAGGTTCATTTATGTCTAATTTTCAGCATTTTCATGTCGTTATTGCTGATTTCAAAAGCCATATCCAATGGGTAAGGCAAAAGGACCTATGAATTGAGATACTTGTTTATTTCTCAGTTTGTGAAAATCTCCTTAAATTGCTGAGATTGTAAACAAATTTAAACTCTATTATGCAAAAAACAGAAGACAATCTTCTTTGTCATTAATTTTGCAGCTACATTGCATACAAGATATGTACTATCTATGAAAAAATACAAACTCAACTACAGGTCTTAAACACTGAAAAGAGTTGCCAGTTGATTATAATTTATTTTGTTATATCAATCTAATGTATTTATGTACAATTCGTTGTATTTATATAGAATCTGGAAAGTTCACAGCCATCAGCAGTTCTGCAGTTTCAGGTGAAATGGGAATTCAGGAATCTCTGTGGAACTGTGGGTGTAGTGAAATGTGTAGGTAAAATATTTGCATGCTTTTGGAAGCATTTGTGAAGGGATGTATTTCAAATTGACCTCAACTGTGTCTTTCTCAGCAAAATGATCTGGGACACTCAACAAGGGTTTCATTGTTTCTGATGTTTGTGCACGTTCTTCTTTTTACAAGAAATTCAGGGCTCAGAAGATATCCATTTGACATCATGGCATTAGAGCTTTCACAACCACTGTAGGTTTTCTCTTCTTCATACATTATGGTTTCAAGTAATTTTATTCTGATTTCCCGGGAGCTTGAAAGGTTTCTGTTTAGCCCCACAGGCACTGCAGGGAGGTCCCAATATAGCAGCAAAATGGTTAATTTCTAGCGTACAGAGAAAGATTTTTTGTGTTGATATTTTGTTGTGCTACCTTGCTTAATTTGTTCACTAGATTTTATAATTTCTTGTTGGTTCCTCCTGGTTTTCTGTGTAGGAGATCTGTGAGTAGTTTTACTTCTTCTTTATACATATGAGTGGCTTTGTATATATATTTCTTTTCAAATTATTCTAGTGGAACTTTTAGTACAGTGTTGAATACAGTGATGAGAGTGAGCATCAGTGCTGTTCCTCATCTTAAAACTTTGGTTCCCAACAATTCAGATGATGATTGTTATGGGTTTTGCATAAGGACATTTTGTTATGTGAAAAAATTTGAAACACTGTTTATCGGATTTTGTTATTATTAAAATATTTTGACTATCTTTGTGTACTTTCTGAAACAGTTGAGACAAAAGTGATGTTTTTCCATCAGTTACTTTGCATAGTATATCGAAAAGGGATGGGTTTAGAATGGTGAGAAACCCTTGACTGGCTGAAAAAAGAACTTAATAATTGTGATGTATAATGTTTTCACTATGTACCAAATTCCATGTACTCTTATTTGGTTAAATATTATGATGTCTATAATTATCAAATTTATTAACATTTAGTTTTTTTCTCCTACTGATACCATATGTTTAATTTAATACACAGTTGGGGTTAGAAAAAGATATGGTTTGGTGTAATATCATGGGTATTAGGGGTCAGAGTTTTGAGTTGTAGAGGATGTATTTAATATTTTTTGAAGCACGATGGGCAAATATTAAGGATAGGATAGAATTTGGGGATTAAGCTGGGCTCGGTGGCCCATGTCTATAATCCCAGCAGTTTGGAAGGCCATGGTGGGCAGTTCAGGAGGTCAAGAGATCAAAACAATTTGGTAAACATGGTGAAACCCCGTCACTACTCAAAATACAAGAAAAAAATTAGCTGGGGTTGGTGACACGTGCCTGTATTCCCAGCTACTCAGGAGGCTGAGGCAGGAGAATCACTTGAACCTGTGAGGCAGAGGTTGCAGTAAGCTGAGGTCATGCCACAGCACCCCAGCCTGGCAACAGAGGGAGACTCCGTCTCAAAGAAAAAAGAGAGAGAAGAAAGAAGAAGAAGAAGAAGAAGAAGAAGAAGAAGAAGAAGAAGAAGAAGAAGAAGAAGAAGAAGAAGAAGAAGAAGAAGAAGAAGAAGAAGAGGAAGAAGAAAGATTTTGGGAATTAGGGATGGGGTTTACAATTGCAGAACAAGGTTTAGGATTACATTGTGAGGTAGGGCTGAGGTTGGGATAGGGGTTAGTACAGTGGTAGGATTAGCTTTAGAGTTAGAGTTAGGGTCAGGGTTAGGTGTTAGGGTTAGACGTTAGAATCAGTGTTAGAAGTTAGGTTTGGGATTGGGTTATGCTTAGGGTTAAGGTAAAAATGTAGGCATACAGAAGGGTGTTAGGCATTAGGGTCATGGCCTGGATTAGGATTAGTGTTAAGCTTTATGTAGAGGGTAAGGGTTAGAGGGGTTGTGTTAGGGTTAGTGTTTGCTTAAGCTTTAGGGTTAGAATTTACCATTAGGATTACTGTTTAGGGTTACATTTAGATTTAGGTTTGGGGTTGAGGATTGGGGTTTAAGGTTAGGGTTAGCATTTATCATTTATGTTTATGGTTATGGTTAGGTGTAAGATTTACTGTTAGGAATATGGCTAGGGTTTTGGATTTAGGGCTGGCATGACTGTTAGGGCTGGGTTAGGGTTAGGGTTAGTCGTCATGGTTAGTGTTACAGTTAGGGTTGGGTTTAGAGTTTAGGAGTAGGGTTAGGGTTTATGGTTAGGGGACAGTTAGGTGTTAGGGTTAGTGATTAGCATTTACCACTAGGGATAGCATTAAGGTATTTCTAGGGTTAGGGGCAAAGATTAAGGTTAGGTTTATGGTTTAGGGTTAGTTTGGATTAGGGTTTTGGTCTAGGTTTAGGGGTAGGTGTTGGCTTAGGGGTTAGGTTAAAGATTACAGTTTGGGTTTAGTGTTCTGTGTAAGAGTTACGGTTTGGTTTTATTGCTAGGTTTAAGATTATGTTAGGAGTATGTTAGTATTAGTGTTAAGATTAGGGGTTTTGGATCAGTATTAGTGTTAGGGTTATGGGATGTAGTTAAAGTTTTTTTCAGTGTTTTTGGGATTTTGTATTTTACAGTTAGAATTAGAGTTAGATTTAGGCATTAGAGTTAGGTTTCGGGTTAGTGTCTTAGGCTTAATCTTAGGTTTAGGATTCAGAATAATTGTTATGCTTAGGATAAGCCTTAGGTTTCGGTTTTAGGATTGTGGTTAAGTGTTTGGTTTAGTATTAGGGTTTAGGGTTAGGGTCAGGGGTTAGGATTAGTGTTGGTGTTTAGTATTAGTGTTCAGGTTGGTTTTGGGTTTTTTTGTTGTTGTCTGGCTATTGTTAGGATTGTGGATATGGGTTAAGATTTGGGCTAGTGTTGGGTCTGGTTTAAGGCTTGGGTTTAATTTTTAATATTAGGGGTAGGCGTTAGAGCTTGTTTTATGTTTAGGGTATTGTTTAGCATTAGTGTTATTATTAAGGTTAGAATATAGGCTTAAGGTCCTGTGTTTAAGGGAGGGTATGATTTAGGTTTATAAACCGGGTTGGTGTTGGTGTAGGGGTAGGGTTAAAGTTGGGGTATCAGGGTTAGGATTTCGGTAAGGGTTATGTTTGAGGTTAGGGTTGGTGTTAGTCTTACAGTCAGGGTTAAAGTTCAGGGTTACTGTTAGAGTTGGGTTAAGGTTAGGGGTTACAGTTAGTGTTGGGTTAAGGTGTAGGGTAAGGGTTAGGATTTATGGTTGAAATTTAAGTTCAAGATTAGAGTTATGGTTCATGATGAGCATTAGAGTTTAAGATTAGTGTTAGGGATCAGCATTTGTGATAAGGTTAGTGTTAGGAACTAGGGTTATATTTAGTGTTTAGGATGAGAATTAAGAGTTACAGTCAGCCTTTATGGTTTAGGGTTAGGGTTATGGTTAGCTTTCAGGCTTTACAGTTTGGGTCATGCCTTAGGTTTAATTTTAGGGTTAAGTTAAGAGTTAGTTTAGTTTTAGTGTTAGGGTTCAGTTTTTATGGTTTTCCAATTAGAGTTAGGGTTATTGTTAGGCTTATGTTTTGGGGTCAGGGTTATGTTTAGTGTTTTAGGGTTTTATAGTCAGAGTTTCATTTAAGGATTATGGTTTTGTTTTGGGTTAGGGTTTCAAGGTTAGGATTAGGGTTAGGCATTAGGGTTAGTATTTAGGGTAAGGGTGAGGATTAGGTTATTGGATATGGTAAATTGTAGGTTTAGGATTATTGTTAGGGTCAGATGGTTTTGTTTAGGTCTTAAGATTAGGGTTAGTTCTAGGATTTAGGATTAGTCTCAGGGTTTAGTGTTAGGGTTAGGGCTTATTTTTAGTATTTGGGTTTTTATTGAGTTTGACGTTCCGTGTCTTAGTTTTATGGTGAGAGCCTGGGGTTAGGATTAGGTTTAAGTTTAGAATTATTGTATAAGGTCATTATTAGAGTTATGGTGGTGGCAGGGTTAGGCTTTATGGTTTTGGTTATGGTTAGTGTTTAGGTTTAGGTTAAGGGGTTAAGGTTATGTTCAATATTATGATTACAGTTAGGGTTAGCATTATTGGTTAGGGTTAGTGTTAGGTTTATGGTTAGGGTAGATATTTGGGTAACATTAGGGTTAAAGTCACTGTTAGTGGTTAGGCTCAGGGCTAGGGTTTAATTTTAGGTTTAGGTTTAGGGTTGGTCTAAGGATTAGTACTAGAATTATGGATTGGGTTTAGGTAACAAGGTTAGGTTTGGCTTTGGGTTTGAGGTTGGTGTAGGTGTAGGTTTAGGGTAATGTTTAGGGCTAGAATTAGAGTTGTGGGGTTAGCATTAGAGGCTAGTGTTAGTCTTAGGTTAGTGTTAGTGTCAGGTTTGGGATTCAGGTTTAGTGGCTAGGGTAGAATTAAGTGTTAGGGGTTATGGTTAGTGTTAGGGGTAGGATTTTAGTGCTAGTATTAGGTTTTAAGGGAGTATTGGTAGAGATGGGTTAGTTATTGTTTTATGGTTAGGGTTAGTTTTTTGGGGTTAGGGTTTGGGTTTTATGGTTGGGTTTTGGGTTCAGTTCATGGTATGTTTGGGTTGCTGCTGAGTTATGGTTATTATCAGGGTCAGGGTCAGGTTCAGGTGTCAGCATTAGGATTTAGTGTTGGGATTGGGTTTTGGTTTTTGGTTTGTGTGAGGGGTTAGGCATTAAGATTAGGCATAGTGTTGATGTTGGGGTTGAGGTTGGAGTTTAGGCTTGCTGTTAGATCTAGGGTTTTTTGGTTAGGTTTAGGGGTAGGGGTTGGGGTAAGGTTAATGTTACAGTTAGGTTTAGGGTTAGGGTAGTCCTGAAAAACTGGGTACTGCCTCTGGAATCCTGGAAAAATTTTTATATGTACAGTTGTTACAGTTTCTTTTCTCACAGAGGGAGGCTGAGACCCATGAATTCTTAGCCTGGTTCATGTCACCTGGGACCATCGGGCTGAAGGCCGTGTCCACTTCTGTACTTTACAGTCTTGCTTATAGCACACATGAGCTGTGCTTCTCCCTCCAGGCCAGTGTTTATTATGGGCCACCAGAACCAGATTCCCAGGGAATGGGTGTCTCTCTTGTGTAGGAGCTGAGACCAGGTTGGCTCAAGTCAGTTTCCCAGTAAGGACAGAATTGTGGAAGACATAGGATTTGAGGGGGAGCAGTCCCTCAAATAGAAGAAGTAATGATTTTCTCCATGGGAGTATTCCATCCACCACAAGGCCACACCTTGATGAAGCTCATGAAAACATATTCTACTCTGACCCATACTGATCTCTCCCTGGCCACCCTTGGACCACAGATCTGCTTCTGTTACTAAACTTTAGCTGAATTTTATAGAGTTTCAGGTAGATATGGTAAGTCTTTGGGTCTCCGTGTTTTGTTCTGATTTGGCTCCTTTTATTCAGCACTGCTGCTTTGAGAGTCACCCTGTGGTGAGTGCATAAGCAATCCATTCCTTTGCATGCTGAGCCACATTCCAGGGTGTGGATATGCTACAGCTTGTTCACCCTTCTCCTGTGGATGAGGGTTTGGGGCTCTCAGTTGGGACTAGTATACATGGGACTACCATGAACATTTTTTATGTATATAGCCTGTGAACTTGTCTTCATTTCTCATGGTTCATTTTATGAGTACAGTGGCCACATCATGTCCTGGTAGGTATGAACTGACTTTAATAAGGAACCACTGATTCTTGTCCTAAGTGTTTGATCTATTCCCTGCTTTCTCTCCTGCTTCCCCTACTTTAGTCATAATCATCCCTTGTCTCCTTCACACTTCAGTGCAGTAACTTTTTAGCACACTGCCCTTTCTTTACATTTGAAGTCACCAGCTTTTTCTCCATGTGCTTGCTCTGATGCCCTCTCTAAACTTGCATTCTCTGACCTGTGTGTTACACAATCCCCTCCAAAAACCCTACATATGAAAGGATTTTGGGAAAAGATTCTGTTACCTAATGAGTATCAGATACCTACATTGGCTCTGGATGGGGGAAAGAAGACTGGGTGGGTCTTGACACCCATTGTCCCAGAAGATAGAGCTCATCATCGTTGATAAAAAGAAGTCTGGGTGTGTCCTGGATACATGTTCATGTGACTCACAAACTTTTTCTAAATGACACCTGGAGACCTGGCTGTGGGCTGGAAACTGAGTATGAGTCCACTTGGATGCTGTGTGATTACAGGTAAGTCACTCAGTCACCTGATCCTGGCTGTCCCTTTGCACATGGGATGACCCATTTCTTGCAGAGTTGCTGTTAGTTCACCTGAGCAAGACAGCTGCCTGTGGTGGTGCTCAGAAAAAGCTAATTTAAATTTGTTGAAATGGGACAAACCATGGATATTAAGTGTTGAGGTCTGGAGTACAGCAGAAAAAGATTCAGAAGACCTTGTAAACCCTGAGGAGGTATCACTGATCACTGGCTGTCTGTGAAGGCAGCAGAGGAAAAGTGACCTGGGGTTGGAAATGGCCAGTTAGTTGGTCTGTTACAGATAGTTACACAGAAATGAGTGGGGCAGGAGAGGTTTCTCCCCTCCCACCCACCTACCAGGAATGTCAGGTCATTGGGTGATGGTTGGACAGTTTTCATATTGCCTCTCTAAAAATGATAATTTAGCAGCTGGAGCCAGAGAGGTACAAGCTTCTACTGATCCACAGCTGTTAACATTAAAGTGTTAATTAAATGCAGGCACCAGGGAGAAGAAAAAAGGGCTTCCAATAAAATCTCAGTTATTGGGCAAGTGAGCTCAGGCATACACATTAAGAGACAAACCCTCAGCGTATGACTTTCAGAGATCACTTTTTAATAAACGTCCTCTCCTGCTGTGAAACTTCCCTTAGTATCTTTTGCTGCTTTATAGTCCTCAGTCAAAGTCTTTCTTCTGAGAAGGCAAGAATTGTGGTTACTGCAGACCTGGATGGATTCGCCACCAGTAACTCAGATATCTTCCACTGTTAACAGGTCTAGGAGCTGGTGGACAGTGTGGCTGGAGTATGTGTCCAGAATGGGTTTGGCCAGGCTCCAGGCCATTCTGGACTGTGGAGGGACTTGAACCCCAAGGTGATGGCACCCCATGGAGAGAGCTCACCCTGGTTGGAGAATGCTGGGAAAGGAATTTTGTCTTTTTATCGAGGTAAAATTTCCATAACATAAAATTAACTTTCTAGATGAATAATTCAGTGACCTTTAGTACATGCACATTTCTGGGCAACTACCACCTCTTAGTTCCAATTTTTATTATCCCAAAAGGAAATCCCCTACCTACTAAAGAGGTACTTCCCAATCTGTCCTTTTTTTCTGACCCCTAGCAACCAGTAATCTGCTTTTTGTCTCTATCTACTTACCTATTCTGGATATTTATATAAATGAAATCATAGAGTATGTGACCATTTATGTTCAGCTTCTTTAACCAAAATGGTTATGAAGTTCCTCCACATTGTAGTATTAGAGTTGCAATATCTTTTACAGCTCAATATTATGCCATTGTATGGGAATACTAAATTTTGTTTTCTTATTACTTGTTGGTAGACATTTGGTTTGTTTCTACTTTTAGTTATTGTGAATAATGCTGCTATGAACATACGTGTACACGTTTTTGTTTGAATACCCATTTTATGTTCTTTTGTGTATATATCTGGGAGTGGATTTGCTGGGTTCTATGGTAATTCTGTGTTTAGCTTTTTGAAGAAACACCAAACTATTTTCCACAGCAACTGCACAATTTTACATTCACATTTCTCCATTTTCATGTAAATCCTTGTTAGCTTTTCTTTAATAATAGCAATTATAATGGATATGAAGTGACATTTTCCTGCGGCTTTGACTTGTGTTTCCCTGAGGTGAGTGATTTTGAACATATTTTCATGTGCTATTTGTGTATCTTTGGAGAAAAGAGAAAAGTCCTTACAAGTCCTCTCTCTCTTTTTTTTTTTTTTTTATGGATTCTTGTTCCGTCACCCAGGCTGGAGTGTAATGGTGTGATCTCAGCTCACTGCAACCTCTGCCTTTTGGGTTCAAGTGATAATCCTGTCAAAGCCTCCTGAAGAACTGGAACTACAGGTGTGCAACACCACACCCAGCTAATTTTTGCATTTTTAGTAGAGACAGGATTTTATCATGTTGGCAAGGATGGTCTCAATCTCCTGATCTTGTGAACCACCTGCCTATCTATTTTTTCTTTTTCTTCTGTTCATAGAATCATTGACAAACCCAGAATCAATAAGCACATTAAAATATGCTCAACATCACTAGCCATAAGCTAAACGAATACCTCAATCACAATGAGATTACCACGTTTTACCCATTGGAACATCTATTTTTTTTTAAGGAAGAGTTGGAGAGTATGTGGAAAAAGTAGAACTCTTGTGCATTGCTGGTGAGAAAGTGAGATGGTGGTGATGGTTGCACAACTTGAGAATAGTTAATTTCACTGAAATACTCACTTAAAATGTTTGAAATGGTAAATTTTGTTATGTATGTTTTATCTCATACAACAAATTTTTCTCAGAACTGTTCCTAAGATAGTTCTATGTGTGAAGAAAGAAGATGCTCCACTCCTAGGATGAGTAGGAGCCTTTTTATTTATGCTGGTACTACATACTCTTGGCTCTTCCATATGCCCAGCATGATCGCACCAGCCAGAGGAGTTGACTCCCACCTGGCCCATTTATGCCTCTTTCTATCAGCCTGTTCTCCTATTCAGCTCACTACCTGCCACCTACAAAGCACTGTAAATTACAGGTCAGTTTACCATCTCTGTACACATTTCTTCTCTATAATGTCACGGAAATGGGATCATACAATATGTGGTCTCTTCAGACTGGGTTTTTCTGCTTTGCTTTTTATACATACGATGCATTCATGGCTTTGCATGACCTCATAAATCATCCTATTGTCTTGATGAATAGTATTCTATTTCATGGATTTACCTGGCTTGGTTATTATTTAAGGGTATCCTGATTCCTTAAAGTATTTGGCCATTATCAAGAGAGCAGGTATACAAAATTGCATGTGGTTTTTGGTTAAATGTGAGTTTCCAAAGTTGTTGTCTAAATACTTAAGTCTGCAAATGTTAGCCTATATGGTGAGGCTATGTTTAGCTTTGGAAAAAAAAAACTGCCAAAATTGTGGCAGAAGAAATAATATCTTTTAACTTTGCTGTACAATTATGCATTCCACCAGCAAAGAACAAGCATTCCTTTCACCGTTTTCATTGCATTTAAAAAAATTTTAGACATATTATAATATTATAGATGTTCAGTGCTCTCATTGTTAATTTGCTTTCCCCTGACAGCAAGTGATTTTTGGCATTATTTCATTGTTATTGTTTGTTCATTATTCTATGACTGCTGCCAAAAAGCATGCATGTGCTGTGCCAAAGAGAAAGAATTTTAAAAATATGCACTCTAAGCTCTACCTAGTAAAAACTTAAAAAAAAAATGCTAGTACACATAATCATTTATCCTGTTATTTGTTCTAATTTTATGGTTACTAGAAGGAGATAGTAAACTCTAGCTAATGAGACAATGTGGTGAATTAATCTGATGCGTCATAATATAGAGAACACTTTCAGTCAAGTGATTATTTTACTGGTGTTAAGGGAGCAACAGGAATTCTTTAGCACAAGTTGTTTGTGTGGGATATTTTTCCCTCTCACTCAGGCTGGAATACAATGGTGCAATCTTGGCTCACTGCAACCTCTGCCTCCTGGGTTCATGCAATTCTCCTATCTCAGCCTCCTGAGTAGTTACAATTACAGGAGACTACCACCACACTCATCTATTTTTTTAATTTTATTTTTAGTAGAGACACTGTTTCCCCATATTGGCCAGTGTTGTCTCAGACAATTGACAGGTGATCCACCCTCCTCAGCATTTCAAAGTGCTGGGATTACAGGCATGAGCCACTGTGCCCAGCTGAGTCAGTTATTTTATCCCTTTATGGAGGAAAGTTTGGGTTGAAAACCAACCTTCTAATACTTATAAGTGCCTCAAGGCTGTTAGGATAAAAATAAATCTTCCAACCTAAGGATACTTGGCAGCCTCTAGAACTTTAAGAAAAGCTGAGAAATGAAACATCCAGCTTCCATCTCATTTCAGGAGAGCATCACCAGTGCCTGGGGGACTCTTGGGCCCTGGAGAAAGGGCAGAGCTGGGGTATGTGGGGATAGCCTTTGGAGCCACTGCTGCTCTGGCAGACACTGCTGCTCTTTAGGGGCATGGAACCTCAGCCTTCAGCAGAAGCAGCAGGAGATCAGTGAGCAATGTTTTGTGTGCCTGTTTTCCACCTCCATTATCTTCCTTAAGTGAGGTATCTATTCAGGTATTTTCCTTTTAATTGTGTTATATTCTTCAGTTTTAGAGTTTCTTTGTATATTTTGCATTCAAGTCATTTTTCAGCCTGTGGCTTTTTGGTTCTCTTTGGATCCTATTTCTTTTCCTTTTTTTTTTTTAGACAGAGTCCTGCCCTGTCACCTTGGCTGGAGTGCAATGGTGTGATCTCAGCCCAGTGCAACCTCTGGCTCTCAGGTTCAAAGGATTCTCCTGCTTCGACCTCAAGAGTACCTGGAATGTCATGTGACTGCCACCACGCCCAGCTAATTTTGTCGTATTTTAGCAGAGAACATCTTTCACCATGTTAGCCATGCTGATGTGGAACTCCTGACCTAAGGTGATCTGCCCACCTCAGCCTCCCAAAGTGCTAGGATTTCAAATGTGAGCCACCATGCCTGACTTTAAAAACGTGTTTTACGGAGTAGATATTTCAAATTTTAATAAAGGCTACATTATCAATTTTTATTTCTTTCATAGACTGGACAATAACTCAATACCAAATCCAAGGATATGCAGATTTTCTTCTCTTACAAATTTACCTTAGAAAATTTCAATGTATGAATACTTTTGAGTAATTTTTTTCAGGAAAACTATGAAGTTTGTGTCTATGTTTATTTTTTTCATATAGTTTCCAATTGTTCTGTTGCCACTTGTGGAACAGATTTATCTTTTCCATTGAAAACTCTTTGTGCCATTGACAAAATCTGTTGAGTTGGGTCTGTTTGGGGGTTGCCAATTCAGTTCCACTTATCTACTTGTCTATTAAATCATCAATGCCACACTCTATTGCTCTAGCTTAGTGTAAGTATTCTGACCCAGATGTGTAAGTTTTTTAACTTTGTCCTTCCTCAGCCTTATTTCATTCATTGTAATTTTAGGAAAAGTTTGTCAATGTCTTTGCCTGGATTTTGATTGGGATTTGGCAGAAAAAATAATTAGCGTACTGCTCCTAAACAAAAAACTTCTTCCCTATATTTATTGAGACAAAGTCTCACTTTGTCACCCAAGTTAGAATGCAGTGGCAAGATCTTAGGTCACTGAGATTATCTGACCTAAGCACCCCAAGTAGCTTGGACCACAGGTGTGCAACACCACGTTTGGCTTATTTTTTTGTATTTTTGGTAGAGATGAGATTTTACTGTGGAATGAGGAGGCCCAGAGAGGTCTTGGGGTAGAGGAGGATTTTTACTGAGTGCACTCACACTCAGTGGACTCAACATCCAAAAAGCTGGGCCCAGAATAAAGACAACAGTTGACTTACACACACTTCAAAAACGGGGTAGGCTAGCTTGAAGCAGGCTTACAGCTACAGTGGCACAAAAGCAAGTTTACAGAGGCAGAACAATTTATCAAATTGAGACAGGTTCATAACTCAGAATTACACATGACCATTGCCAAGCAATCCAGATATCTATTATCTAGGTTTTGCTCTAAAGAGCCTTGCATTGGTTTATCTTATAACTTTCTCTATGATGCCCAGACAGCTGTGGTTCAGGTCTGCTCAGGCTTCTTGTGACCTTCACTGTACTTCTTTGATAAAACAGAATACTTGAAGTTACTAGCTACAGAGAACAAGAATCTACAAACTCATACACCAAAACAAAGCAAAATTTGTTTTTCTACTCCCTGTGTTGGCGGAGTGCTGGGAGAGTCTCCAGAGCACATTGCTTTGTGTATGAGCATCTCAGATAGTGTTTACCAAGACTTTTCCTGAGTCTGATATGTGACTGTTGCTGCCTGCGGGACAGATCAGCCTAATACAGGAATGCTTACTTCTTTTTCTTTTTAATTTTAATTTTCTTTATATCTCCAATTTCCCACCTCAGTTTCATCATGTAGCCCAGTCAGGTCTCTAACTCATGGATTCAAGTGATCTGCCTGCATCAGCCTCTGGAAGTGTTGTAATTACAGTTGTGTGCCACCATGCCTGGCCTGTCTGCATTTATTTATATTTCTTTTGATTTATCTCAATGGTGACTCATGGCTTTCCAAATGAATTTTGCATATTTTGTTACATTTATACTTAATGGACGTGGTAGCACTCCTTACCAGGTGCTGGGGTCTGACTTGCAGACCCTGACCCAGCAATGGATGAGTTAAGTACTGTGACACAAAACTATTCTGTTTTGCCAGTCCAGCTGAGTGCATGTGGCACTTACAGATTCCCTGGAGAGTACTGTAAACACTTGTGACTTCAGCCTCCATCAGTCAGTGAGATTTGCATTTATTTGGTAAAGATTAATTGACAAAGGTAGGGAGTAAACACCACTAGAAGATAGCTGACACTGTGGATTTCCTGAGTAGAAAGCAAGTAAGCACCCATGGTACATCAAAGGTTTGTTTTATCTGGGTACACAAGCTAGCCATGTAAACTACTCTGCCTTTCTTTGTACCCACTTTAAGCTGTTTACTCAAGGTAAGGATTAGATTGCCTTCAGCTGTAACCTTATCCTGAGACTTTTGTAAAAACTTCCAGGCCTTCCAAGAAGGTTTGTGTTTATTTATATAACTATGTCTAAAATATTTCCCACCAGACTGATTAAATTCCTACATCTCCCTCTTTTCATTTTTGAATCATGTCCTTTTGATTGGAAACTGTAGATGTGTGCAGGAACAGTTTTTTTCAGGTGAGGCAGTCATTGCTCTTATTCTGGCTTTGCATCCTAGAATTGGAAAATAACAGAAAACAATCATAAGTACAATTAGCAACATTCTTTTCCAATCAAAGTGTGACCTGGTACTTCAGTTTGATAAGTGCTGTTACTAAGGAACCCCACTGGGGGTTTGTTAACTCCTTCCAGGCAAGCAGTTATGTTATTAGAAGCTGGAAAGGGAGTGTATCCCCAGATGACAGGGCTGAAAAATGTCAGATTTAGAAGATGGGCTTATTAGAGTGTAGCAGGTACAGGTAGTAGGCACAGTGAGAGACTAAAAAGAAATAAATTAGCTGAAGTGAAAGGTGTCTGTGTCCAGAGCAGGATTTGTTTAGTCTTCTGTTTCTTCAGCATAATGCCTGGGACCTGTGTCCTCTGTGGAAGCCACATCATTTGGGGCTGTGGGTCTTGCACGGCTAATGCCTTCATTTCTGGTAGCAGATTGAGTCCTGGCCTTGCCATGGAATGGTTTGATGCTTTGTATTGGAATCCAAAGAGGACCTGAGGGGGTGTGGACAAAAGCATACCTTCTTCTCCATGTTAATAATTCACTAGGTCCACACAATTCATTACCGTTTACATCCTTCTATAAAACTGAAGGTTTTATGCCTTGAGAGGTTTTAGCAAATTGCTTTTCTACAGCTGATGGATAAATAAGGCTTTGCCAATAATGTTACAGCGTCTTTACCACTTCTGCCTTTTTTTTTTGTTTTTTGAGCACATTTTTAAAGGTGAAGTTGGCATGTTCTACTATTGCTTGTCCTTGGGGGTTATAGGGGATACCTGTGGAATGTTGCATATCCCAAGTGTGACAAAATTGTTGAAATTGTGAGCTGGCATAAGCTGTACCATTATCAGTCTTAATTTTTGTGGGTCACTCCATAAATGCAAAAGTTAAAATAAGATGTTTAATGACATATAGAGTTGACTCTCCAGGCAGAGTATGTGGACTAATTAAATGAGTGTTGGAGTCAACTGATACATGTACATATCTTATTTTTCCTAATTCAAGGATGTGTGTACATCTGTTTGCCATAACTTATTAGGTTCTAGTCCTCTAGGGTTAACACCTGTTGAAGGAGGGAATGTGTCTGTAAGCTAGCAATCTGGGCATTGTAGGATAATGTGTTTAGCCAGTCTCTGGGTAAGTTTAAATTGTTTAGATAAGTTTCTCCAATTTTGGTGGAAAAATTGATGCGATTGGGTGACTTGGTCAAGCAGTGATGTCATAACTTGAAGGTCTGCTTGATTATTGCCATAAGACAATGGGTCAGGCAGAGAGCTGTATACTTAAATATGTGCAATAAAATAGGATGTGTACTTTGGTCTCACCATTGCTGAAGACAGAAAAAATGAACACATATGGTAGAGTGTAGAGTGGACTTACTAAGGG
The DNA here is from genome assembly GCF_000001405.40 of Homo sapiens. Lineage (NCBI taxonomy): Eukaryota > Metazoa > Chordata > Mammalia > Primates > Hominidae > Homo > Homo sapiens. The sequence goes on from NW_018654725.1 coordinate 33,860, forward strand.
CTGTAAAAGCTTTTTAGAGTCAATATAAAGGTTTTAACTTTAGCTTTCTGATTGCTAGTAAACTCAGACTGAGTTAGTGAATTATGTGGTGTCTACTAGACTTCTGCCTTTCCATGTTGATCAGAACCAAGTGTAAACAGTGTTAAAGCATTAGGTATGAGGGAGTGAACTATTTTGTCAGTAAAGCATTTACTAGACTTTTGGGAATCACAAATTGGCTGAATATCAAGGGCTGTTAGTAGAATATCACCTATAAGATGAATGACTTTGCAATCAGGAAACTCTATTCTAGTGGGGAGGAAAGTTCACTTGTAATTATTCCTTAGCTAACCCATGGTCCTATTGTAATGTCTCTCCCTTTAGAGGTTATTTTTTTATTTCAATTGGATTTGGAGAGAATCATGTTAGGTGTAAGGAGAGGTAATGGTGGCCACAATTAGAAAGAGGGTTTTCAAATTCTTACATTTTACTTAAATCTTAGTAGAGCATCATAATCTGGGATGTCACCTGTAAACAAGAAACAAGGTATTTTGCTGTGGGTGTGTCTCCTGTACAGCTAGAGAGCTGACCAGGAGGGTCCCTGAGTGGTGGCTGCTTTGCACTTGTAAAGGTGCTGCTTTTCTTCCTTTGCTGGCTTTTTGCTTGTGCCACTTCGTTCACTGCTGGACAGCTTTTGCCCGCCACTGAGGGAAGAGGAAGTGATAAGGCAGGTGACATTCTCTCCTGCTTCCCCTTTTTAGACTCTTCTGTGTATAACAGAAACAAGGCTGCTCTAATTAAAGCCCATAATATTAAAGCTGTTACTTGGAACTGTTGCCTTTGCTTCTGATGTTGTTTAAGATTTTTCCCCACTTTTCCCAGAGTTCTATGTCTAGCATTCCTTCTTCTAGGAATCATGGGCTTTGCATTAAACAGTTTGCATTAGTTGGTCCCTTAATTGAGCCTGCAAAAGTGATGCTCTGTTAGCCTTAAGCATTGTTTCAACACTTTTATTTACTGTTTCTCTTCAGTTGATAACTGCTGTATCACGATGAGACCTCAGCTTGACCAATCCTCTCTGAACTTGGAAAGCCCAAGTGGGCACCAATGACTTACTGATTACTCAGTGACTTGACTGTGCAGTCCCTCTTCACCTTCATTTTTGGGGGATCCATCACATTCCCTTCACAGTGTTCCTCAGACAAGGGCACCAACTGTGGTAGCACTCCTCATGCAGGGGTCTGACCTACAGACCCTGACCTAGCAATGAATGAATGAAGTACATTGACAAACAAATATTCTGGTATGCCAGTCCAGCTGAGTGTCTGAACTGCTTACACACTCCCGGGAGAGTACTGTAAACACTTGTGACTTTGACTTTGATCAGTCAGTGAAACTCGCATTTATTATGTAAAGATTAATTGACAAAGATCCTTAGTAAACACTACTAGAGGGTAATTGATACTGGGGATGTCCTGAGTAGAAAGCAATTAAGGACCCATGGTACATCAAACGTTAGTTTTAAGACCACATGAGTAAACAAGCTAGCTAGATAACCTACTCTACCTTTCTTTGTACTCACTTTAAGCCATTTACTCAATGAAAGGATTAGATTGCCTTCATCCATAACCTTATCCTGAGACTTTGGTAATAACCTTCAGGCCTTCCAAGAAGTTTTGTGTACGCATCTATAACCATCCTTAAAATTTTTCCACCAGCCTGATTGAATCCCTACAAATTGATTCAGTTTGGGGGTACTATTGTAAATTGTGTGTTAATGTTTCAAATTCAATTATTCCTATCCATTATTGCTGATATAGAGAAAAATCAATGGAGTTTGGTCTATTGGCCATCTTCTTTGCTTCTTCTTGTCTTCATTCCTATCAAGGCACAGGAAGGTAGGCTCTATTTCACTTCCACTTCCTGAGATTACTGGCTGGATTCATCCTCCCCATATTTCAGAGATTCTTTATGGCTGCCACTAGGGGATCATGGAGAAGATGCAAGGAGCCCATGCAACACACTGCAGGGCAGCATCCTGGGGGCATCAAACAGGCCTTCCTTCTCCTCAGATGCCACCCAGGACATGACTTCAGTGCACTTGGGATACCTGGATCTGCATCCACAGTAAGGATGACATCTCGTCTCCCCTGGAAAGGCCACAACATTGGGAAGTCTGCTTGCCAGGTGAGGAAAGCTGAGGAAAAAGTGTTCTGTCTGTGGCCCCCAGTACTGAGGAGGGATCACTGCCCTGGGCCTTACTTCCACACCCCTGGCCTCCAACTCTGACTTTACAAAATTGTTTCTTGAGTGAGGCTGTGATCTTGCATTGTCACAGCCACCAACATGTGCTTCACAGATGATCTGGGCTTGTTTCTGGGGAGAAATCCTGGTACAGAGAAAGGAGGGGTACTAAGCAGCACCACTGTGACGGGTCAAGGTCAGGGACACATCACACCCTCCATCATCACTTTTACTCAGGCTTTCATGGTTCATTTTCTTACAGTGCTAAAATAGTTGAAACAATACACATTTTTTTTTTTTGAGACAGAGTCTCATTCTGTCCCCCAGGTTGGCAAGCAGTGGCATGATTTCCACCTACTGCAAGCTCCACCTCCCGGGTTCATGCCATTCTCCTGCCTCAGCCTCCTGAGTAGCTGGGACTACAGGCACCCACCACCATGCCAGCTAATTTTTTTTTTTTTTTTTTTTTTAGTAGAGATGTGGTTTCACCGAGTTAGCCAGGATGGTCTGGATCTCCTGACCTCATGATCCACTCGCCTTGGTCTCCAAAAGTGCTGGGATTACAGGCATGAGCCATGGTGCCCAGCCAGAAAAAAATTTTAAGTAGGTATATTGGAACTTAAATCATTATTTAAGTTCAAATATACGATGTATACCTTGTTAGCAACCATTTTTCTTTTGTTTAGACGTCACAGTTTAATTGAGAATGAATTTGTTATGGTACTGAAAATGCTGTTTTATAAAGATTAACATCTTACTTTAGCTGAGATATACTAACTCTATCAAACTTTGATATTATAGCATATTAATTAAAGAAATTTGGTCTCCTTTTTTCTCAATCTTCACAATTTTAAATAAAATCAGAACCTATTAAAGGTCAGTTAGTACTCAACCATGAGCCTGTATTGTTCAGATGTGACTTCCAGTGAAAGCCTCCGTAATATGAACAAATTTCTCAAGTATGTCCTGTTAAAAGGAGAACAGATGTTCATTGAACTTTTGCAAATAACTGTATTGTCATGAAAATGAGAACATTTTATAAGAGTTTCAGAATTCTGGAGGAATGGGCAGAGAGATGAAAGAGAAATGTGCTGATGACAACCCTCAAACTCTGTAAAATATTTAAAGAGATTTATTCTCAGTCAAATAAGAGTGACCAGTTACCCATGACAGAACCCTTCTCAGGAGATTATGAAAAACATGTACCCAAGCTGTTCTGGGAACAACCTAGTTTTATACATTTTAGGGAGACATGAGACATCAATCAAATACATGTAAGATATACATTGGTTTGGTTCCCAAAAGTGGGACAACTTAAAATGGGTGGTGGTGCATTCTGATTGGCAGTTGGTTTAAAGATTTAAGTTATCCAGAGACATGGAATCAATAGAAAGAAATATCTGGGTTACAATAAATAACAAAGGGTATAGAAACCAAAGTTTTATCATGAAGAGGAACCCAGAGAAAAGATTATAAATATTTCTTATCAGACGTAAGGTCTGTGTTGATGTTAATGATGGTTAACTTTTTCTGAATTGCAAAAGATAGGAGTGTATAATGAAGTATGTCTGATCCTTCTCCCTTTTATGACCTGAACCAACTTTGGAATACCCTTAGCCAAAAAGAGGGGTCCATTCAGATGGCTGGGGCAGATTGGGCTTAAAATTTCATTTTTGGTTTACAAATGTTCCACTTCTGTTTACAAAAGTATAATCTATTAAATTGTTATGAGTTATAGTTAACTTAATAAAAAAATTCTTAAATCCAGAGATATAGAATATTAAAGAACCAGCAGACTTCCAAATCAAAAAAAGCTGTAAAATTTTACACATTCTTTATCTGTTCATTCAGTGCAATGTAATCAATTCCCATATTGTTTAATCTTGGGTTAGCAGTGCCATGAACCCATCAGTTTGTCAACTAGAGCTCTGGATATTGTTCTTCAGTCCTGTGTTATAATCTTAAAGTTATTTAACAATTGACATCAGATTTTTATATCCAGAGGACCCATCATTGTTGTTTCCATTGGTCTTGAGGAAGTTCTTTGTTGAAGACAAACATTCTGACCTGTAGCCAACGCAGATGCAGAACCTCTTGGGAAAACATGAGATTGAAATACTACCTACCTGTACATTACAAAAGGTGTACAATGGCCATGGTTAAAACTGTAATGGAAACTCATTATATCACAGTTAAACAGGAATTTGTCTGCTTCTGTGGCATACAAAATTTAAAATAGTAACTAGAATTATGACTCATAATATTATACTAGGGCATATAATAGATAGGGAGGACATTTACAAATTTCCAGGAATTCCATACAGTTTCTGAAAAGATAACATTTTACCAATACAAATACAACCAAGAAAGTTTAAGCATCTTTTCTTATTCGTGTATTTTGTGTACTGCTCATTTCATACTGTTTGTCAAATGCTAGCATTCCATAGTAGATTGAAAATTTATAAATACACCATCTCATAATTTCTAGAGGCATATGTGTCCTCTATACTAATAAGGCAATGACTCATTATTGTAGAAAATAATGTTTTTAAAAAGATCAAAATATCTTCAGTCTCTCTGTAAAAATAAGAAGCTACAAGTATATACAGTTCAATTTATGTTTAATAATTAAAGGTTTAGCATTTTATCTCATTTATAAACATTCTAGAAATTTAATAAACATCTTTCACTTACCGTAGCTTTAAGGTAGCAAATCACTAGAAAGATTTTATAAATTATTATTAGATATGCTGTAAAACATAATTATTACTACAATAATGTTGGTCATAAAAATGACAACTTAATTAAAATCAAATATAACTTTTAAGATTTTAAATATCTAGTGAATATAATACTGGTTTGTTTGACTGGTAACAAAACAGAATAAAAATGTATGTTTTATTATTTGATAGTGAAAATTCTGAAGACATACTTGTTTTAGTGAGTCAAAATTATTAAAATAGTGCTACTCACCTAAGTTTTATCAAAATAATCTGCACTTGGAAAACATTTGGATCAGTTTCTGTATTTTCTGAGTGTTTTGTTAATATTTTACTTATAATTTCTTACTTTTTTGAAGCCAATTTAGAATAGAGCACCTTTAAATGATTTTAGAAATTGTTTGCAATGCCATCCAGAGATTTGAAAATGTCACCTATAGAAAAGATATGCAAACACACATACAGATAGATCTAAACAGATATCTTATAGCTTTAGTTCTAAAATTTTAGCCACAAATCAGGCATAAAAATTGTGATTGTAAATTTTAGGTGTTCACTTGACAGGATTAAGGGATACACACATAGCTGGTAGAGTACCATTTCTGGGTATATTTGTGAGGGTGCTTCTGGAAGTCTTTAAGGAGAGCCTCTATTGATTTAGTCACCATTCTCTTATTGGTACTGAGAGGGAGACTCCATTAAAATGAAGATTTCCTTAGTAGATGTACATTTTCTTTACAAATGGGTAAGTTCTGCTTTGTTTTCAGTTCCCTTGTGTCTGCATTTTCTTAAAATAATAGGTTCAAAATGATTTTTATACCCAAGTGGCATATTTTGTGATGGCATGTTCTGGTCTCCTATAGTCATATATTGGGGAGGCATATTCTGGTTTTCAACACTGTCTTTCATAATTTCTGTACCATCATGCATTCCACCAGCAATGAATGCAATGCTGTTTTTTCCTCCAGCAATTCATTTGTCATGGTTTAAAAACAGTTTAGCAGTTCCAACAAATATAGATGGGCCACACCATCTCGTTGTAATTTTTAGTCCCTTAATGATATATGAAGTTGAACATGTTTCTGTATGCTTGCCATCTGTGTATATTCATCGATGATGTACTGCTCAGCTCTTTACTAGTTTAATTGGTAGTCTATTTTATTGCTGAGTGTCAATATTTCTTTGTATATTTTGAGTGAAAGTTATTATTTAGATCTGTATTTTGCAGATATTTCTTCTTGGCTGTGGCTTGTCTATTTCCTGAACTAGATTTTTCAGAGTATAAACTTTTGATATGAGAAAGTCTATAATGCTAATTATTTTTTCTGTTATGAATCGGCTTTTATGTCACATGTTAAAACTCATGACCAAACCCAAGGTTACATCCCTTTCTTTCTCTGCTTTCTTTGAGAATTTGTATAATTTTACATTTTATTTCTCAGGACTATGTTGTGGAAAAATTAATGCTAAGTTGGAAAGTTTGCAACTGTGTTCATTTTATTTCCTATGGTTACACACACACACAAAGACACACACACAAGCACATGAGAATAGGCTCCATTTCCATTTGAATTTCCAAAATGATGGCACTGAACAATCTGAACTCTGCCTTTATTTGGTGCCACAGGTAAGCCAGGAGGGGGCGAATGGTTCCCGCACCATGACAACCACAGGGGGCAGGCGATGCCACCTTTTCTGACCATGGAAACTCCCACGTGTTCAACACCGGCTGCCTTAGAGGACGAGACCTGCGTTCTACTCAGCACACACTAAGCACCATCACCTCACTGGGGGACAGATGGAAGCAGAGGTAAGTAAAAACCTTCCTCTGACTTATGAGCATCAGGGATCCAGTAGAAAGGCCTTGTGGGGAAAATGAGAAATAAAATATTCCATGGTTTTTAAGACAGTTTTCTTGTAGTAGAAGGCATACTATGAGAACAGCCTACAAAGCCCTAATTCTCTTTTTCTAACTTCTGCCTGGAAAAAAAAAATTGACGTCAGTTTTTACCTAACATTCAAACCTTATAGCACCACCTAGTTGGATTTATTTCTCCATGTGTCCATTCTGTTAGCTCTTTGTATAAACCCTCTAGTCTCCTAATACCTCTCTCTTCTTTGTTCTTTTTTTCAAAATCAGTCTCCATGCCTGATTTACACACAGAAAAAATTCTTTTTCAATAACCAGGAAAAAAAAAAAAACCCTTGAATGAAAAATTCAGGCCTAACTGCTGCCCCCATAGGAGGAAAGATAGTCATTCTAGTTTTATGTTATTAAGATGGTTTTTCTTTTTTTTCTTTTTTTTTTTTTTTTGAGACGGAGTCTCGCTCTATCGCCCAGGCTGGAGTGCGGTGTTGAGATCTCGGCCCACTGCAAGCTCCGCCTCCCGGGTTCACGTCATTCTCCTGCCTCAGCCTCCAGAGTAGCTGGGGCTACAGGCGCTCGCCACCACGCCCGGCTAATTTTTTGTGTTTTGTTTAGTAAAGACGGGGTTTCACCCTGTTAGCCAGGATGGTCTCAATCTCCTGACCTCGTGATCCGCCCGCCTCAGCCTCCCAAAGTGCTGGGATTACAGGCTTGAGCCACCGCGCCCGGCCAAGATAGTTTTGCTAAAGTGAGTTACATTGGCGTTTTAACAACAAAAAGATGAATTACATGGATAGTAGTCAATTGGTCTCATTATTTGGAAATCCGTAGTTTTACTAGAGCCATAGCTACAGAAGGTAGAAATGGGTGTTAGAAACACTCTTTCCATTAAGAGGTCTCACTGAAATCCAACTACTGCATAGTCTCTCCCACACCTTTAGAATACCCTGGGAGACTTATGATCCCGGTGAGTCTAGAAAATGCAGAAGGGAAAAGAGCTCTAGCCTCAGAAAAGTGAGGATGATACTTCTGTAGACTAGCCCCTCCAGATACATGGGTGAAAATTATGCTTGCGTTTATAGGCTCCACCTGTAAGGGTGGCTGTGACGCAGAGGATGTAAAGAAAGTGGAGAAGTGAGATGCCCTTTCTATCACTCTCTCCTCCCTGGGTCACTTTGAAAGAAGGAAGAAGATGGAGGAATGCCTCTGGTTTTTCCTTTCCCAGATACATAATAAACCATCTTTAGATTGCACTTTTCTCAAGTGTATACTGAAGAACTGTGATTCTCTTAATCCTGAGACTCTGAAACAAAAGAGATTTATATTCTCATGCACAAGGGCATGATTATGTTACTAGCTCCAGGATAAACAGGGCTTTACTCCTGAAAAAAAATGTAAATTTTAGTACTCTTGCAGTCTCACAAATTCACCATACACAATGTAGCAGATTCTTTTTATAAGGTATCACCCAGGGTTTTATTTTGTTTTCTCACAGCGAAAAAATTAAAAATCATGAAAACAAAGGCTATCATTTGAGTAAAAGTTTAATAAGCAAATGAAGGAAGCTCTCTGCAGTGGAGAGTGGGGCCCAAGTAGATTACCCACTATGAGGCAGGGTTGGAGGTTTGTATAAGCTCAGAAGAGAAGAAATGTGATGACTAGTTTGAAACAGCATGACTAAACTTTGCTCAGAGTTTGACCCAGAACCAGTCAGGAGCTGAAATGATTATTCATGGAGGCTATTCAGATTTTCCTGGCACCTTGGCCCAGGGCCAGTCAGGAGGTAAAGTTAAACCTTGTCCTGAGATCTTAGGCTGAGACCAATCAGAGGCTGAAGTAATGACTCGTAGAAACTCACCTCCCAGTGAAAAGCATGTTAAAAAATAGAAAGAAAAGTGCCCAGCATAACCCACTGAAGCCAACTGTGTACATGCCCACAGACAAAGAATAGACTCTTTCCTGGAAGCCTACTGTCTTTGCAAAGAACACAGGAATTTTTATGTTGAACCTTGCTCTCTCACCAGAGTACTTGCAGGCTTTTCTTAGAAACAATAAAGGTGTGTCTATGTTTGGCCTTTTTAAAAATATATATATACGAATGGGCCAATGTTTGATCCAGTTTTCTTATCGGTGCCTGCAGCTTGATTTATCAGGCTTTTTCTCTGCTTGCAGATATTTTACCAATATTCCACCATAACTGCTTAACATTTCTCTGTTATTTTCTCTCTCAGGAATGGAGACACTAACTGCTGTTAGGAAAGTGGAGTGATGGGCTGGGTGCAGTGCCTTATGCCTGTAATCCAATCACTTTGGGAGGCTGAGGAGGGTGGATCATGAGCTAAGGAGTTTGAGACCAGCATGGTCAACATGGTGAAACCCCTTCTCTACTAAAGGTACAAAAAATTAGCCAGGTGTGGTGCACACACCTATAATCTTAGCTACCCCGGAGGCAGGGGCAGGAGAATTGCTTGAACCCAGGAGGCAGAGGTTTCAGTGAGGTGAGATCATGTCATTGTACCTCCAGCATGGGTGACATGGCGAGACTTTATCTCAATTAAAAAAAAATTGGAGTGACAATATTTCTGGTTACTTTTTTCTAAAGATAAGTATTATTTAAGTTACAGAAGTTAGGGTCTCTTCTGGGGCTGGTATAAGTGTCCTCAGTAGATAAGTGAATCCACACATCACCATTTGGAGCTTGATAGCCTCTAGATGAGAAGAAATAATTCTGGTTATACCATTGAGTATAGATGGTCCAAACATTAACACCACATATACAAGGAAAAGAGGTCTTAACAAAGGAGCTAGTTAGGTCTAAAGAGAAGACTTAAATCTATTAAGAAAAGATTGTAGCCAACTGGAACAGAGTCCTCACTTTCTTTCAGTCCACTGACGATTTTAAGTAGGTCATTTAGCACTTGTATTTATTTCTTTATATTTTTACCTGACTAAAAGTGCTGATTCAGAAGCAGCATGTCTCATTGGATAGTGCATAGGCATTCTCTACTCAGGCCAAAAAGCCATCCAGAGTTTAATTATTCTGCATTATCACTGAGGCTAGGAGATTTACCAATTGGCATTAGGCTTCTGTGGCTTCTACAGTTGCCTTCCACCCTTGTTGCATCATGATGAAAATACTAATGGCTAATTTTTCAAGAAAAGTATACAGAGAAATCAAAATAGGCCACCTGGTCTTGCATGTTTCAATTTTAATTTTTACAGTATAGGATTATAGTGTCATATTTTCCTCAATTCTCTCCCTCAAAACTCCATGTGATGGCATAGAGACAAGTGATTTATTTTTGTGTGTGCAAGAGAATCTACTCCGAAAAAGGGTCTCAACTGAAAATGTCACCAGATGATGGTGTCATTTTGGTGAAATATAAAAGTAACATACCAGGATCACTATTATTATAGTACCTGTTCCCATTTAGTGCCCAGGGAGGATTAAATGTAGCCAGGGGCCACAGAGAAAGTAAAGCCCCACTTCCTAAACAGATGGTTCTAAGTTGTCATTTGTGAGGGTTCCTGCTAGATTTAGTTTATATCTTGTAAAGTTGCCCCTCCTATGTCTAAGAGGAGATGTAATATCCATACTCAGTACAGTTATTCAGCGTGTTGACTGGAATTCTGCCTGCTGGTTTGGAATAATCTTTTTGGCAGGTGGAGTTTCAGAAAATCAGAGACACAGCATGTTCTGCCCAGTATCTCTGGTAATCCTCATTACAGGGGCTATTAGTTCAGATGTTTCCAGTTCTCCTGCATACATGTAGGATGCCACCATTATAATATATTATACAAGGGTTCAGGATTCCATCTGTGGGCACATTTGGTTGGAAACAAGTATTATTTATTATCTGATAATAATGTTGGAAAGAGGCAACATTTCTGCCTATGGGTAATAATTTCTACTAGAAATACCAAAGGAAAAGTCTGGTTAGATTGTTAATGTTTTTTCATAGTCTTTCCCAAGGTTTGAGGTCACCTGTGCTTTTACTCTCCAGATCTCCACACTCTCAGCAATTACAAGATGGCATTGCCATATTTGAGATTCTCCAAGTGTGGTTCCTTTTGCCTCTAAAGCAGAGAAAGGTGTTTGCTATTATTCTATCAACTTCACCTAGCCTAAGAGTTTGAGTCTTACATTCGAGAAATACGTCTTTCTGGATGGAGTTAAAAGTGATTCCATACAAGATTCCATTCATCCCTCTCAAGTGCTTAATTGTTAAAGGTGAAACTAACAGATAGAATACTAATATATTGAGTTCATATAATTAAAGCGTCTGTTTTAAATCTGATAAAATTTTTCAAGGCAAACCTAGAAGTTTGTCTTCTTGTATAGATGGGCAATGGCTAATATTGTAGGGACCTTGGGGTGCGTGTCAGTGCTACATCTAACAGTAAATGTTAGTAAACTTGACAGTAACAAAATCTTCATGTTTATTTTTTATTTGTCACTACTATTTTTGCTATAATAATAATGATTAAGTAAAATATTATGGTAATTGAGACTCTCTGTTTGATACTTCACTCAGAAGGTGCTTCAGTTTATAACCCCACTGCAAGAGGTAAAGTAAGAAACGTAATTTCTATAAGTATTGTGTATTAGATAATTGTATCTGATTTTTTATTGTAATACTTCTAGACTGTCAGGGACTGCTTTCACTGTTTTCCAGGCTTTCACTCGAGTGAAATAAATATGAGTCAATTTCCACCATCTTCACAGCTGAGGGAGTAAGGAGAAGAATAGTATTAGGTCCCTCCCAACTGGGGTGTAGGGACAGGAGAGAAAGAGGAGGAGCCTACCCCAGTACCAACTCTTCTGGGTTGAATAGAGGGGGATTTGGATTTTTGGGGTTGTACTTCTGAAGATGTTTTCATTCCTCTTGAAAGTGGGGTCAGGGAGTTTATATGTTTAAAAAATTCAGAAGTCACTCATCTACTAAAATATCAATGTTAAGAGAAGGCCATACATAATAAATTTAAAGTAGTTCAAAGCCAGCTTTGTAGGGATGTACTTCACTGTCACTAAGGCCATGAAAAAGAGTAATTGAAAAGAGATGAGTTTCTTGAGGAAGCTTCCTGAGGAATCTCTTGATGATATAATTTATTTTCTTCCCCTTTTCTGAAGACTGTGGTCTCCAGGCACAATGAAGATTATATTCTATGCCCAGAGTTCTTGAAACTCGCTGGGTAATGGTGGCTTTAAATGAGGAGCCATTGTTGTTTTGGAGGCACTGAGGGAGGCCAGAGCAAAGAATTATTTTTTCAAATATTTCTTTTACTACCTCAGAGGATTTTTCTGTTCTACATAAAAATGCCTCCATACAATTAGGGATACTGTCTACCTATACCAGCAGATACTGGGTTTTCTGTATTTTGGGTGTATGGGTAAAGTCTATATGCCAACCTTCCCCTAGGATTCTTTCCATTTTTTTGAGCTTGAGGGAGGAGAAGCTATCTGTTGGGGGGATTATTTTTAAGTTATATTTCACATGCATTTACAAACTGTTTGACTATTTTCAGTAGATTTTTACTGGAGAACATTCTCTGGATCAGTTGATAAGTTATGTTCTTTGTAAAGTGAAAAGTTTGCTGAAGGACATTAAGAACTTTCCACTGACTGGACGCTGACAAGTGGGGTTTTCTGCCTTTCATTTGTAACCATACAACAGTCTGAAAAATTGATTCTCCAGAAGTAGCCCATTCTATCTTTGCAGGGAGATACTGAGGCTTTATTTCTTCTATAATACTTTCCCAAATAAGAAAGGCTTTAAATATTCTGGGAACTTGGGCTCTTTTTGCTACTGACTTGGCAACCTATTTTTTTGCTTTTGGCTATTTTATTAATCATTTTCTGGTGTCCTCTGTAATATATTACTGCTACTTCCCAGAAAGAAAGGAGAAAAAAGAAAAACTGAGGACAATAATCTATTTCCTGGTGATATTTAATGTAAGACCCATTAGCAGTCAGGAAATGTCTTTTTTTTTTTTCTAAATAGTGGCATGGGCATAGAGAGCCAGAAGAAGCATACCTAGAATCAGTATGTGTCCACTGCCTTTTTCTCTAAATGGTTAAAAGACAATTAACATAGCTAATAAGTCTTGTGCTTTGTCATAGAGGCATGCTGTCAAGTATATAAATCAGGGTGAATATTGCACACACTGCCTTAGAGGTATTTGTTTTACAAAATAACTTTTCCCTCTAATGAAAGTTCAGACTATTTTTCTAAAGAAATTAGTTTTAGGTTCTTTCTGGCTGCACAGATTTTCACTACTACCTGTTCACAGTCATGTTCAGGTTCTTCAGGTTACTTCTTAAAGGAAAGGGAATAGGTTATGGGTTTTTTAATGGAACTGCAGATTCCTTAGAAGCAAAGTTTGATCTTTGACAAGGTGATTATCTGTTATCCAGAGACTTCCTTTAGAGGACACCCTACATTACGTGGGGTGTAATCAGTTAGAATATTCCCCATGCTCAACTTACTGGCTTGCAGTACATGCAAGACCACCACTACAACTGCTTGGAGGCAACTTGTCTATGCTTTAGCCACCCAGTCAAGCTCTATGTTTATGTAACTTAGTGGTTGCTGGGCCAAATCTCAAGCTTGAGTTAAAACTCCTAAGCTATCCCTTTCTTTTATAAGACATAAAGATGCAATGACTTATTTGTGGGTACACTGAGGGCCAGTGCTTTTTGTCAGGTTTGTTTGATCTGGTTAAGGTATTTGAGTTTTAGTTTCCTATGTCAGGAAGAAAGCCAAAGCTGCTTGAGATTCTTTTATAAGATAATATAAAGAAATAGCTGTTTCACCAAACCTTGGTATCCATCATCCTCAAAAACTTATAATGTCCAGTGATCCTTTTAGATGTTTGAGTGTTTTGGGAATGGGAAAGAAGGAGATGGGATTAATTCTCTCCTTTACTAATGTTTTGGGTTTTCAACAGCCTTATTAATGAGACAGAGGTTCTGATCTAGCCTCCATTCTTCATTGTGTTTCTGTACCTCTAATATTTGAGTGTTGTTAAGACGTTGCAGAGTTCAAGGAAGTATTTGGCCTTTAGGTTATCTCTGATGGCAGCCATTATCTACCTTTTGTCTATAAAAGATATTGCCTAATGCTAGGGTAAAAAATAAAATAAAACTCTTAAGCTAATCTGGACAAGTATAGCAGTTGTAGCTCTGCAAATATTTCCTTGATGTGGCCAGACCTATGGATTAACATTGGTTTTAACTAAGGGGAGACAAAGCTTTGTCCTGAAGCCATTAGAATGATGGTGTCCATATGAGCTAAAATTACCTAGTAGAAGAGTGAAACTTTCAAAAATATTTAAATTGGGATATTTAAATACCAGGTCTCCACAACTACAACTGAAGGGTTTAGAAAATATCCTCTCTATTTCTACCTCTTAAAAAACTGTATACAGTCTATACTCCCCTGAAGTTTATTTTTTAACATGAGAACTTCTTTGACTCTGAGACTCTGGAGAAAAAAAGTGGCTTATATCATTTTGCACAAAGACTTGGACATTTTATAAACAAGAGTTCTGAACTTCTTGGAAAAAACATAATTTCAATGGTATCCAATGACAACATCTTCACTTGCTATTCCAGACAACTGAGATCTTTGTAAGCTTTGTAAAATGAACCTGATTCCATTACAAGCAAGTCTACAAAAGGCAGATTTATAAACTTTTGAA